>NW_003315957.1:0-104552 GCF_000001405.40 Homo sapiens
GAATTCACTCACTATCATGATAAAAGCATGAAGAAATCTTCCCCCATGATCCAATTACCTCCCACTAGGTCTCACCCCTGACATGTGGGGATGACAATTTGACATGAGATGTGAGTGTGGACACAGAGCCAAACTGCATCAGAAGTGTTCTGTGGTTTTGTGATTAGGTGTCAGCTTTTTGGTGAGCTTGTGCCCCTGGACTGTGTGCTTCACCGGTGCTTCTCAGTCTTTGCCTTCTTAGGAAGGACAGGGTGAACTAAAGGAGCTGGCCTGGTTATTTCTCTTCCTCCAGGTCAGGTAGCCTCTGATGAAAAAACCCCAGCAGGATAGGCTCTGGTTACCTAGTTTTTCCTGAGGCAGACCTTGTAAAGAAGAGCAGAATGCTATGCTGTATCTCAGAACGGTTCCTTTTTCCCTTCTGCTTCAGAATTCATGAGGGGATTTTTCTTCCATAATTGCTCTGTCTCCCTGAGAAAGCTCCTAGAGGTAAAGCTCACAAAAGTGTAGGGACTTCCTTATGCTCGAGTCTCCCTGGCAATGTTCACTCTCAGCCTTGTCCATTCTGAGCCTCTCATAATTTGTTAATTGCAGGTTAGGCTTCCCTCTTCTGGCAGTGGTTCCTGTGCAGGTTTCTGCTTACAGGTTTTCTGCTCTGGTAGGTTGTGATTCTCTGTATGCACCTATCTGTCTCTCCAAGTTTTGGGACCGTGGCTTTTCCTGTGAGCTCACCTCTTTGACGGATTTAAGAAGAGTTATTGATTTTTCTGTTAGGTTTTTAGTCGTTAGGTTACAGTGGTGTGAACCCTGATAATCTGAGACTGGTCTCAGTTAATTTTGAAAGTTTATTTTGCCAAGGTTGAAGATGGGTGCCTGTGACACAGCCCCAGGGAGTCCTGACGATATGTGCCCAAGGGATTCAGAGCACAGTTTGTTTTCACACATTCTAGGGAGACATGAGACGTCAATCAACATATGCACAATGAACTTTGGTTTAGTCTGGAAAGGTGGGACAACTGGAAGCAAAAGAGGGAAGACTCGAAGCAGAGAGGGGACTTCCAGGTCATAGGTAGATAAGAGGCAAATGGTTATATTCTTTTGAGTTTCTGATGAGCCTCTTCAAATAAGGCGATCAGATATGCATTTATCTCATTGAGTAGAGGGGTGACTTTGAATAGAATGGGGGGCAGGTTGGCCCTAAGCAGTTCCCAGCTTGACTTTTCCCTTTAGCCTAGTGATTTGAGAGTCGCAAGATGTATTTTCCTTCCACATTGGCAACTTCTAAGCTCTGCATGAGAAACCTATTTATATATTTTTAATTAACATAAAAGAAAAATAAGTAGCTCACGTGTGTTTGACATCACCAACTGAATATTTTTAGAATAAAATGGTATTTTGGTCACTTCTGAGTAGTTTTATGGTTCACCTTAAGTATTAAAATGTATCAACCGAATGAATATGACAGGTTTTACAGCAAATCCAGGGGATATGTTCCTGGGTTTATATAATTTGTGGCCCATTAAATCAATTAATGAAGTCTGGTCAAACTGCCAGTTGGCAAGTTTTTACAAAGCCTGCCTTATTTGCTCATATCCAACAGGTAAGACATCAGCCATCATGTGAAATATACTGAACAGGAAAATCACAGTTAAGCAGCATCCAGTCCTACAGTCTGATTTGAATCATTTCACTTGCTCAAGACAGAAATATAATTATGAAATAGTTTGCATTTCGTTTTCCCTCTCTCTCCTCTCTGTCACACACACACACACACACAAAACACACTCTATACACAACATATTCCATCTACCTAAAACACTGCAAGCCAAAGATTGTAAATAAAAGGATTTTCTCTTTGAAGAGTAATTGAGCTAATTTCATGCCTAATTGAAATAAAATACATTTCCCAAGTAGGTGTGTTTCCAGTGAGAACACAGATCAGGATAAAACTAAAGAGTAAAATAAGAACTTCTCAGAACATTTGCCCACAAAAAGCTTTGACTATTTTCCATTTATTTATTTATTTATTTTTATTATACTTTAAGTTCTAGGGTACATGTGCACAATGTACAGGTTTGTTACATATGTATACATGTGCCATGTTGGTGTGCTGCACCCATTAAATTGTCATTTACATTAGGTATATCTCCTTCCCCCTCCCCCCACCCCACGACAGGCCCTGGTGTGTGATGTTCCTCACCCTGTGTCCAAGTATTCTCATTGTTCAATTCCCACCTATGAGTGAAAACATGCAGTGTTGGTTTTCTGTCCTTGAGATAGTTTGCTCATAATGATGGTTCCAGCCTCATCCATGTCCCTACAAAGGACAGGAACTCATCCTTTTTTATGGCTGCATAATATTCCATGGTGTATATGTGCCACATTTTCATTTTTATTTTTTTGACGGAGTCTCGCTCAGTTGCCCAGGCTGGAGTGCAGTGGCGCAATCTCAGATCACGGCAAGCTCTGCCTCCCGGGTTCACATCATTCTCCTGCCTCAGCCTCCCCAGTAGCTGGGACTACAGCTGCCCACCACCACACCTGGCTAATTTTTTTTTTTGTATTTTTAGTAGAGATGGGGTTTCACCATGTTAGCCAGGATGGTCTGGATCTCCTAACCTTGTGATCTGCCTCCCTTAACCTCCCAAAGTGCTGGGATTACAGGCATGAGCCACTGTGCCTGGCCCACATTTTATTAATCCAGTCTATCATTGATGGACATTTGGCTTGGTTCCAAGTCTTTGCTATTGTGAGTAGTGCCACAATAAGCATACGTGTGCATGTGTCTTTATAGCAGCATGATTTATAATCCTTTGGGTATATACCAAGCAATGGGATGGCTGGGTCAAAAGGTATTTCTAGTTTTAGATCCTTGAGGTATCGCCACACTGTCTTCCACAATGGTTGAACTAGTTTACAGTCCCACCAACAGCATAAAAGTGTTCCTATTTCTCCACATCCTCTCCAGCACCTGTTGTTTCCTGACTTTTTAATGATTGCCATTCTAACTGGTGTGAGATGATGACCACTTTTTCATGTCTGTTGGCTGCATAAATGTCTTCTTTTGAGAAGTGTCTGTTCATAACCTTTGCCCACTTTTTGATGGGGTTGTTTGATTTTTTTCTTGTAAATTTGTTTAAGTTCTTTGTAGATTCTGGATATTAGCCCTTTGTCAGATGGGTAGATTATAAAAATTTTCTCCCATTCTGTAGGTTGCCTGTTCACTCCGACGGTAGTTTCTTTTCCTGTGCAGATTCCATTTGTCAATTTTGGCTTTTGTTGCCATTGCTTTTTGTGTTTTAGTCATGAAGTCCTTGCCCATGCCTATGTCCTGAATGGTATTGCCTAGGTTTTCTTCTAGGGTTTTTACAGTTTTAGGTCTAACATTTAAGCCTTTAATCCATCTCGAATTAATTTTTGTATAAGGTGTAAGGAAGGGATCCAGTTTCAGCTTTCTACATATGGCTAGCCAGTTTTCCCAGCACCTTTTATTAAATAGGGAATCCTTTCCCCGTTGCTTGTTTTTGTCAGGTTTGTCAAAGATCAGGTGGTTGCAGATGTGTGGTAATATTTCTGAGGGCTCTGTTCTGTTCCATTGGTCTATATTTCTGTTTTGGTACCAGTACCATGCTGTTTTGGTTACTGTAACCTTGTAGTGTAGTTTGAAGTCAGGTAGCGTGATGCCTCCAGCTTTGTTCTTTTGGCTTAGGATTGTCTTGGCAATATGGGCTCTTTTTGGGTTCCATATGAACTTTAAAGTAGTTTTTTCCAATTGTGTGAAGAAAGTCATTGGGAGCTTGATGGGGATGGCATTGAATCTATAAATTACCTTGGGCAGTATGGCCATTTTCACAATATTGATTCTTCCTATCCATGAGCATGGAATGTTCTTCCATTTGTTTGTGTCCTCTTTTATTTCATTGAGCAGAGGTTTGTAGCTCTCCTTGAAGAGGTCCTTCACATCCTTTGTAAGTTGGATTCCTAGGTATTTTATTCTCTTTGAAGCAATTGTGAATGAGTGTTCACTCTTGATTTGGCTCTCTGTTTGTCTATTATTGATGTATACGAATGCTTGTGATTTTTGCACATTGATTTTGTATCCTGAGATTTTGCTGAAGTTGCTTATCAGCTTAAGGAGATTTTGGGCTGAGACGATGGGGTTTTCTAAATATACAATCATGTCATCTGCAAACAGGGTCAATTTGACTTGCTCTTTTCCTAATTGAATATCCTTTATTTCTTTCTCTTGCCAGACTGCCCTGGCCAGAATTTCCAACACTATGTTGAATATGAGTCGTGAGAGAGGGCTTCCCTATCTTGTGCCAGTTTTCAAAGGGAATGCTTCCAGTTTTTGCCCATTTAGTATGATATTGGCTGTGGGTTTGTCATAAATAGCTCTTATTATTTTGAGATACATCCCATCAATACCCAGCTTATTGACAGTTTTTAGCACGAAGGGCTGCTGAATTATGTCAAAAGCCTTTTCTGCATCTATTTAGATAATCATATGGTTCTGTTTATATGATGGATTACGTTTATTGATTTGCATATGTTGAACCAGCCTTGCATCCCAGGGATGAAGCCAACTTGATCGTGGTGGATAAGCTTTTTGATGTGCTGCTGGATTTGGTTTGCCAATATTTTACTGAGGATTTTTGCATCAATGTTCATCAGGGATATTGGTCTAAAATTCTCTTTTGTTGTTGTGCCTTTGCCAGGCTTTGGTATCAGGATGATGCTGGCCTCATAAAAGGAGTTAGGGAGGATTCCCTCTTTTTCTATAGATTGGAATAGTTTCAGAAGGAATGGTACCAGCTCCTCTTTGTACCTCTGGTAGAATTCATCTGTGAATCTGTTGGTCCTGGGCTTTTTTTGGTTGGTAGGCTATTAATTATCACCTCAATTTCAGAGCCTGTTATTGGTCTATTCAGGGATTCAAATTCTGCCTGGTTTAGTCCTGGGAGGGTGTATGTGTCCAGGAATTTATCCATTTCTTCTAGATTTTCTAGTTTATTTGCAGAGGAGTTTATAGTATTCTCTAATGGTAGTTTGTATTTCTGTGGGATTGGTGGTGATATCCTCTTTATCATTTTTTATTGCATCTATTTGATTCTTCTCTCTTTTCTTCTTTATTAGTCTTGCTAGTGATCTATCAGTTTTGTTGATCTTTCCAGAAAACCAGCTCCTGGATTTATTGATTTTTTGAAGGGTTTTTTGTGTCTCTGACTCCTTCAGTTCTGCTCTGATCTTAGTTATTTATTTCCTTCTGCTGGCTTTTTAATGTGTTTGCTCTTGCTTCTCTAGTTCTTTTAATTGTGATGTTAGGGTGTCAATTTTAGATCTTTCCTGCTTACTCTTGTGGGCATTTAGTGCTATAAATTTCCCTCTACACACTGCTTTAAATGTGTCCCAGAGATTTTGGTATGTTGTGTCTTTGTTCTCATTGGTTTCAAAGAACATCTTTGTTTCTGCCTTCATTTCGTTATGTACCCAGTAGTCATTCAGGAGCAGGTTGTTCAGTTTCCCATGTAGTTGAGCGGTTTTGAGTGAGTTTCTTAATCCTGTGTTCTAGTTTGATTGCCCTGTGGTATGAGAGACAGTTTGTTATAATTTCTGTTTTTTACATTTGCTGGGGAGTGCTTTACTTCCAACTATGTGGTCAATTTTGGAATAAGTGCGATGTGGTGCTGAGAAGAGTGTATATTCTGTTGATTTAGAGTGGAGAATTCTGTAGATGTCTATTAGGTCTGCTTGGTGCAGAGCTGAGTTCAATTCCTGGATATCCTTGTTAACTTTCTGTCACGTTGATCTGTCTAACATTGACAATGGGGTGTTAAAGTCTCCCATTATTATTGTGTGGGAGTCTAAGTCTCTTTGTAGGTCTCTAAGGACTTGCTTTATGAATCTGGGTGCTCCTGTATTGGGTGCATATATGTTTAGGACAGTTAGCTCTTTTTGTTGAATTGATCCCTTTACCATTATGTAATGGCCTTCTTTGTCTCTTTTGATCTTTGTTGGTTTAGAGTCTGTTTTATCAGAGACTAGGATTGCCACCCCTGCTTTTTTTTGTTTTCCATTTGCTTGTTAGATCTTCCTCCATCCCTTTATTTTGAGGCTATGTGTCTCTCTGCACACGAGATAGGTCTCCTGAATACAGCACACTGATGGGTCTTGACTCTTTATCCAATTTGCCAGTCTGTGTCTTTTAATTGGAGCATTTAGCCCATTTACATTTAAGGTTAATATTGTTATGTGTGAATTTGATCCTGTCATTATGATGTTAGCTAGTTATTTTGCTCATTAGTTGATGCAGTTTCTTCCTAGCATCGATGGTCTTTACAATTTGGCATGCTTTTGCAGTGGCTGGTACTGGTTGTTCCTTTCCATGTTTAGTGCTTCCTTCAGGAGCTCTTGTAAGGCAGGCTGGGTGGTGACATAATCTCTCAGCATTTGCTTGTCTGTAAGGGATTTTATTTCTCCTTTGCTTTTGAAGCTTAGTTTGGCTGGATATGAAATTCTGTGTTGAAAATTATTTTCTTTAAGAATGTTGAATATTGGCCCCCACTCTCTTTTGGCTTATAGAGTTTCTGCTGAGAAATCCACTGTTAGTCTGATGGACTTCCCTTTGTGGGTAACCTGACCTTTCTCTCTGACTGCCCTTAACATTTTTTCCTTCATTTCTACTTTGGTGAATCTGACAATTATGTGTCTTGGAGTTGCTCTTCTCGAGGAGTATCTTTGTGGCATTCTCTGTATTTCCTGAATTTGAATGTTGGCCTGCCTTGCTAGATTGGGGAAGTTCTCCTGGATAATCTCCTGAAGAGTGTTTTCCAACTTGGTTCCATTCTCCCTGTCACTTTCAGGTACACCAATCAGACGTAGATTTTGTCTTTTCACATAGTCCCATATTTCTTGCAGGCTTTGTTCATTTCTTTTTACTCTTTTTTCTCTAAACTTCTCTTCTCAGTTCATTTCATTCATTTGGTCTTCAATCACTGATACCCTTTCTTCCAGTTGATTGAATCAGCTACTGAAGCTTGTGGATCCATCACATAATTCTCATGCCATGGTTTTCAGCTCCATCAGGTCATTTAAGGTCTTCTCTAAGCTGTTTATTCTAGTTAGCCATTCATCGAATCTTTTTTCAAGGTTTTTAGCTTCTTTGCAATGGGTTCGAACATCCTCCTTCAGCTCAGAGGATTTTGTTATTACCGATCGTCCAGCTTTGTTCTGTTGCTGGCAAGGAGCTGTGTTCCTCTGGAGGAGAAGAGACTCTCTGATTTTTAGAATTTTCAGCTTTTCTGCTCTGGTTTCTCCCCATCTTTGTGGTTTTATCTACCTTTGGTCTTTGATGATGGTGACCTACAGATGGGGTTTTGGTGTGGATGTCCTTTCTGTTTGTTAGTTTTCCTTCTAAGAGTCAGGATCCTCAGCTCCAGGTCTGTTGGAGTTTGCTGGAGGTCCACTCTGGACCCTGTTTGCCTGGGTATCACCAGCGGAGGCTGCAGAACAGCAAATATTGCAGAACGGCAAATTTTGCTTCCTGATCCTTCTTCTGGAAGCTTCATTCTCAGAGGGGCATCCGGCCGTATGAGAAGTCAGTCGGCCCCTTCTCTGAGGTGCCTCCCAGTTAGGCTACTCGGGGGTCAGGGACCCAATTGAGGAGACAGTCTGTCCATTCTCAGATCTCAAACTCCATGCTGGGAGGACCACTACTCTCTTCAAAGCTGTTAGACAGGGACATTTAAGTCTGTGGAAGTTTCTGCTACCTTTTGTTCAGCTATGCCTTGTGTCCAGAGGTGGAGTCTACAGAGGCCTCATTGAGCTGTGGTGGACTCCACCCCCAGTTCAAGCTTCTCAGCCACTTTGTTTACCTACTCAAGCTTCAGCAATGGCAGATGCCCCTTCCCCAGCCTCGCTGCTGCCTTGCAGTTTGATCTCAGGCTGTTGTGCTAGCAGTGAGTGTGAGTGAGGCTCTGTGGGTGTGGGACCCTCCAAGCCAGGCACAGGATATAATCTCCTGGTCTGCCATTTGCTAAAACTGTTGGAAAATTGCAGTATTAGGGTGGGAGTGTCCCTATTTTCCAGGTACCGTTTGTCACGGCTTCCCTTGGCTAGCAAAGGGAATTCCCCGACCCCTTGTGCTTCCCAGGTGATGTGATGCCCTGCCCTGCTTCGGCTCATGCTCTGACAAGCCCCAGTGAGATGAACCCAGTACTTCAGTTGGAAATGAAGAAATCACCCGTCTTCTGCGTCACTCATGCTGGGAGCTGCAGACTGGAGCTGTTCCTATTTGCCCATCTTCTCACTTTGACTATTTTCTACAAAAAACCCAAATCTTACAACTAAAAAAGAAATCCAAAGCACTAGAAGGCAAAGAAGTAGAGAAAGATAATTCAGAAAACAAAGGAAAAGAGTGGTCAATATAATAAGACGTTGAATGAAAGACAATTTTGCAGAATTGAGTGGGAGTCTGATGACAGTGGGTAAAGAGCCAAAGGACAGGTGAGAAAACGGAAATTAAAAGCTGTCAGTTTTTTCATTGACGGACGTGAGAAGCAATGTGGGCAGTATCATTTCAGAGATTAAGAATGAATGTGCAAGAGGGAGGAGACATGAGGTGGGTCTGAAATGCCTCTCACAGGTGAAGGAAGAAAAGATTGACAAGGGACATAAGGAAATGCTGCCAGACACTGAGATGGGTTTGTAGAAGCACAAGTACTCCCTGTAAAAAATTGAGGAGAACCATGTCTGGGGAGATCATTCCTTTCTATATGAGGGTTTCCAGCATGTGATCCAGTCATGGAGCTGGGAACTTTAATGTCCTGCAAAAGCACAAGAGGAAGATCTTTGGGTGAGACCATGTTGTTAGAAACACATCAGCACACAACTTCAGGGGTTCAAAGTTGGCTGGAGGTCGAGGTTGGAATATGTCCTGGGAACTGGAATAGGATCTACAGGAACTGGAATATACCATTAGGGAAAAGTGACCTCACCAACAGGCCCACCTAAAGATTCTGAGAAGTAGATTCCTTTGTTACTATCAGCACCCATTTTTACTTCCCATGCAATGGTCTCAGCAGTTTCTAGGATTCGGAAAACACAGACTCAACACACACCAGGGGCAACACAGATAAACTTCATGTTAGCATCTCTCAAGAAATTTCTGGAACAAATTTGAAAAGTTTTCTCTTTAAGTAACTCATGTTGTGGAGGTGCTTCAAGCTGGAACTGATGTCTTGAATCTGGGAGAAAGCAGCAGCAATATAAAACCTGGGCAGTAGGTTAAATGCAGAGGAGAATAAATTCAGACCATAGGTTTGTTTGGTTTTGCCACTGAAAGGAGAAGCTAGCAGGACCTCACAGCCAAACAATGTGGAGATGGCCACAATTTGACAGTTGGCACATTTCTGTCATCAGAGAACATCAAGGGGTACAACCTAGTCTTATGAAAATGAGCAATTTCCCCATAGGCACTTCTCTGGATTCTACTTTAACTCCTAATAATTTCTGTTTAGACTGCCTTGAACAGAATTACAGGGGAGTTGCTGGATGATTATAATCAAGCATCATAAATAGAACACCCAATCTTCTCATTTGTGCTTTCTCTTAAAATGCACATTTTTAATGAAATACATGAAAGGGATTTTTTCTTTTTTTTAATTGTACACAAGAAAATAATCCAGTAAAACCTTTACAAGAAAATGAAATCTAAGCTCCATCTACTAAATTGTTGGTATCTGAACTCTTACAAAAACTGTTTATTACATTTGCTTTCATTTGTGCCTGAGTGAACATTTTCTGCATCTTGGTGTACCTCTTACTGGCTATTGCTCTTTACTATGCAGAGAACAATTTAACGGGATTCCAATTCCCTCACTATGACCTCACCCACGCAAACTTGTGTCCCTTCACCAAAGTTATTTGGGACTCTTCTTTGGAGCCAATCTACCTGCTGTATGCAATCACTTTGCCACTTGATTCTAAACTCATACACTTGGTATCTCTTCTTTATGGTGAATTATTCCTCATTTTATAAGATGAATTTTAAAAATTGTACCAAGCTTGCTTTTCTGCTGAATATTTTAATGCCACCAAACACACAGAACACATCACAAACAGGTTATATAGAGTTAGTCGTTTGTGAGGAGTGAAGAGGAGGTGGTTTACCCCAAAGTTCAAGCCTAACGGCTTTTCTTTTTCTTTTCTTTTCTTTCTTTCTCTTTTTTTTTTTTTTTTTTTTTTTGAGACAGGATCCCACTGTTTCGCCCAGGCTGGAGTGAAGTGTCATGATCTTGGCTCACTACAACTTCTGCCTTCTGGGCTCAAGCAATCCTCTCACACCAGCCTTACAAGTAGCTGGGACCACAGACCCACACATTCAGTTAGTTTATTTCTTTGTTGTTGTTGTTATTTTGTAGAGACAAAATCTCCCTATATTACCAAGACTGATCTCAAACTCCTGGACTAAAGTCAAACTATCCACCCATCTCAGCCTCCCAAAGGGCTGGTACTACAGGTGTGAGCCATTCCACCCAGCCAGATTTTCTGGTTACTTACAGAAACCAAAGGTCCCACAAGTTCTCACTGAATTTTGAGGAGTATAAGTAATATAAATATCTCATCCATAATAGCTATTGAGCTGGATGGAATTGTGTCCTCCAAAATTGATATGTTGAAGTAAGTCTAAACTCCCAGTGTGAATGTATTTGGAGACAGGCCTATAAAAAGCTGATCAAGGTTAAACTAGGTCATAAGGGTGGGGCCCCAATACAATAGAACTAGTGTCCTTATAAGATGACGAGGATACATCTGAGCTCTCTCTCTCTTTTTATGGGCAAATGAGGAGGAGCCTTGTGAGCACAGAGTCAAAAGCATCATGTATGAAACGGTGAGTGGCCACTCACTGGACACTGAATCTGATGCTGCCTTGACCTTGGACTTCTCAGTCTTCAGGGTGGTAGGAAATAAATTCCTGATGTTTACAAGCCACCCAGTCTATGGTATTCTGTTACAGCGGCCTGAATAGTCTAAGACAAGTTGATAAAGATCAAAAGCAAGTCTGACTTGAGATTCAGAAAGACCAATATCTTATTTTTAATTGTTTTCAGCCATCAAATCAGAAGTTTATAAACAATAAACACCATTAACAATATTTCTACACAGAAATTCAGTAATTTTTTTATTATACTTTGAGTTTAAGGGTACATGTGCACAACGTGCAGGTTTGTTACATATGTATACATGTGTCATGTTGGTGTGCTGTGCCCATTAACTCTCATTTACATTAGGTATTCCTCCTATAAGGATGTAGCCGGGCATGGTGGCATGTGCCTGTAATCCCAGCTACTTGGGAGGTGGAAGCAGGGGAATCACTTGAACCCGGGAGGCAGAGGTGGCAGTTAGCCAAGATTGTGCCACTGCACTCCAGCCTGGTGACAGAGCAAGACTCTGTCCTACCCACTCCCTTCAAAAAAAAAAAAAAAAAAAAAGGAGGCATTTCTCTGAAGTATTCGGCTCATAATCAAGATGTTTTAAAAATTACCTTACTCTTGATTACATTTAACATGTGCCAAATGGCCATTACAATCCGATTTCCTTATGGAATATTCACATGGTGTGCACGCATATCCTTAAACGAGGACACCTGTTTTTGCATCCCTTTAGCTATGGCAGTTGTGGTGGGGGCTCCTACTGTTTTGTTTTAATGCCTTGGTTCTAGCTAAGTATAATAATCAGCTTATGCTCTCATATCTGGGTCCATTGCCTTTACAGCTGAGACAATTTACTCTTTCCTTTCAGTTCAGCCCCATGGTATCATCTTCTGATCCTGATTCTCTCTCTCTGGCTTAGCTCAGCACAAGGAAGATACAACATTCAATTGATCAGCTACAGATCTATAGCTTTGTTGATGGTATTAGCCTGGTTCTAGAAACTGGGGTTATTGCCTGGATTCATGCTTTTATATCCTTTGGATCAAATCATATGCTGAAAGAAAACAAAATAAGCCATTGCGTTGTCAAAATATTACGGCCCAAAGGACTCTTAAGAGAAATAAAGGCTATTGGCCATATTTTACTCATGAGGTTATAAAAATACAATTGGAGTTTCGCTCAAACTTTTTTTGTTTTTTTCTTTGTGATGGATCTCTCTCTGTAGCCCAGGCTGGAGTGCAGTGGCGCGATCTCGGCTCATTGCAACTTCTGCCTCTGGGTCCAAGCAATTCTCCTGTCTCCACCTCCCGAGTAGCTGGAATTACAGGCACATGCCACCACACCCAGCTAATTTTTTTTATTTTTAGTAGAGACGGGGTTTCACAATGTTGCCCAGGTTGGTCTTGAACTCCTGACCTCAGGTGATCCCCCCGCCTCGGCCTCCCAAAGTGCTGGGATTACAGGCATGAGCCACCGCGCCTGGCCCAGCCTTCACTTTTTTTTTCCTTCTCCACTTGAGTCTACTCTTCAGGTCCTTAATTGGGACACCGTGGCAGCTGCTCCTAGAGTCATGTCTATGTGCTGATTTGGGGTTATGACCATGTATTCACCAATCTGAGCCAAGAGGAAAATTGGAACAGAGGGGCAGCATTTTTAAAAAGTGGATTTGTACAGTTTGCAGAGCCACCAGTAGACCATGATTCTTGATCATCTTGAAGTAAAATATAATTTCTTGTGTGTTTTGATGTGACAGTAGGTTGCAGGGAGATGTTAAATGTTTAATAAACTCACTTCTGGTAAAATTCAAAGTCAGATGAAAAGTGTGTGGTGATCCCCAATATTTGTTTAAATGTTACTGGACACCCAATTCATATATTCAGAAATCAGTGCTCTGGAGCCCTGGGTTTCATGTTTCTTTCCTGCCCCACACCTAAGGGAAGCTGTATCCTTCTGACCCTGAGAGTGAGCACAGTGACCTCTGTGGGACGGCCATGATATCTGTGGGACTGTTGTGACCTCTATGGGAAGCCTGTGACCTCTTGGGACTGCTGTGACCTCTGTAAGATGACTGTGGCCTCTCTGGGATCACCATGAGCCCCTGGCCCCTCCTGGATCCGGCTCCCAGGGCTTCACTACACTCCCTCAGTGCACGTGCCTCAGCCCATCAATGCATTCATTGCTTTGACTTTTGCAATGAATGATTGTTTCATAATGGCTTTCTTTTACCGTTTTTACTCCAATGTGGTATGCATATCCTTCTGTGTCATTACTAGAAGACTAATAGCTTTTAACAGCATAAGTGTCTGTTATAACTACATCAAGAAGATGAAGTGTATTTTTCAGTCATTCTATGGTTGATGAGCATTTACATTTTTTCCTACTTCTTGTTAACCTGAAGAAGGAGGGCTGGATTCTGGATAGGCAAAAGCATCTGACATTTACTATCAGCACAGAATTTCATTTTCCTCTTAAGTAACAAATCCTATGTCTTCTTACTCTTCATTCCATTAATTTTTTTTCATAGCACCTTTCTTTATCATCATGCTTTGTAGTAAATGCACTTACGTACTTCTGATGATCCTTTTTACCTTCTTGACCATCTATTCTCTTCTTCCTCTAACTCAATTTTTCCCCATTTCTCACTTATTTGATATTATTTCTGATCTGTACCACTGATCTCATTTGCTGTCTGTGCTTCATCTCACATCTTAAAATGATGCTCAAATTTATATCTCAAGTTTTCACTTTTCTCTTTAACTCCTAACCAACATTTACAGCTTTTTGCTGCATATGTCCATGTGAATATTGTATACATGTAAAATGACCAAATATAAACACATTATTTTCCTTCTATGTCCCCGTCTTTGTTGACTTAATGCCTTAATCTAAAATTCCAACCCAGAAAGCTCAAACCATCCCTGCCACCCTTCCTCTGAATCCCTTCTATAATGTCCATTCACACAGCCCCCATTGTATTCATCTGAATTATTATTAAAAGGTTATGCAAGCTTTCTCCAGTCTATCTCATTCTCCTATCTGTTCTTGACACCATGATTACGTCTTTGCTAACAGATAGTCCTTCCCCAGTATCTCGCTATCCCCAAGATATTGATGGTTCCACATTGCCTAAGATTCTAATTATCTAGGAACGAACATATAGATGTTTTTATGGACTTTTTATTTTCATCATGAATACCCTCACTTCACTACATTTTGTCATCAGTAATTATTAGTGACCATCTTGCAAAAAGGATTTGCAATTTTTTATGGCTCCACCACATACTCTTGTGGCCAATTTTTGCTTTTTTAGTTTATTTATATCTTAATGTCCACTTTTCTATAAAATTTCAGCAGATCTCTAGTGTGGCAAAATAAATTTATATATTTTAGAATCTGCCTAGTTGATTCTTAAGATCAGCTAATTTGGGAACCACTACAATAAATACCACTTTGCATCAAAAGTACATTTAGCCTCATAGTGAATCCTGTGGTTATCTTTCTTTCTGTTAATTTGGTAACTACTTTAGGATTGGAACACTGTGTTGTTATCTATTGATTTATTCCTAACGTACTAAAATTGTAGTCTCCTACATATGATGGATGTTAACTAATTACTTAATAGAGAAAAATAGACTGTAAATATATAGATACATACATAGTCGAATTCAGAAACAACAGTTGGAATGCAGATTTTCAAATAATTAAGTAAAATTTGCAATGTAGAGTCCAGTATCTGGGTATGAGTTTATAAGAGGATACCTAATCTGAAGATTTTTATTATTTTCAAGATATCTTCTCTCTCCCTTAGTGATATTCTTAGCCTTAAAGTGTAGAAATAAGGTCTTTGATCCACATCCTCACGTTGACCTACTTCCTCAATTATTTCTTATGAACCTAAACTTCTGTTATTTCTGTTTTCTTTTAGCACCTCTTTCTAGTCAAATCTCACTTTATCTCCTCATCACAACTGTTTCCTCAGCTGTCACCAAACCTTTTGATCTAAGGAGTTCAATTTACGACAAACAATTTTTCATCGTCTAATAGCTCCTTTCCAAAGCTGCTTCCAAAATGCATACAAAATATAATATACGACACCACAAACTGGAAATGAGTAATTAAAAGTACTTTACTAATTAAGTTATGCAACTAATTATATATTGTAATAAACCCCAAATCCTACACCCAAATTTAACAGAATTAGTTAGATTGGAAATTAAACAGATGTTCCTTTTGTGTTGGTCTTCAAACATGACAGTGGTCACACTGCTGTCTTTTCATAGACACAGGCAGTGAGAATCTGTGCATTTAAAGAATAACGACTTCCTTTTCTTAGGCTGCTCAGCGTGTCCGAGTGAAGACACGACTACAGAGCAGTGGCCAGAAACTTCAACAACACAATCCAGTATGGAACGCAGCATTCTGCCTCCTCCACTCCCCCCATATTCTCTACATTCTCTATGTTGTTTCTCTATGTTCTCTTTAGTCCTGAGTGCATCCCTTAATCAACACATTTTTAAAGCACCTATTATGTGCTGCATAGGGTTACAATGTTAGGAAAACAAAGCATTTGTCCTTGAGAAGTTCTCAGTATAATGGGAGATATAGGAATAAAAATGCTAATTAAAATGCAGTTCTTTCATTGCTAAAAAGTATGTCTAAAGGATTGTGACTGAAAAAATTCATTTTGATATGATTCACTTTATCAAGAATTTTCAGAAAAAAAAAATCTTACGCCTTATGATCACAGTAACTCTTTGAGGTGGGCACTACTTTCACCACTAGTTTCCACATGAAGAAATGGACATTTAGAGCAATTCAGATGTTTTTGCAGATTTATATGTCTAGTGAATGAAGAAAGTTAAATATAATTCCCAAACTGTTGAAATCTAAGTCCAACATTCTTTTCACTTCTACATTGGAGTTGTACACTCAGAAATATTAGTTTAACTATCCTAGACTTCCAGTGAAGGACGTAGGGAGGAGTTACTTTGGTGCACACACACCTATAAGAATGCACACATACACACCACATTTCTGAGAATATGACTTCTTATATAAAAATCAGAATTTAGAGTAGTAAAATGTAAACCCAAGCTGTTGAGAAAATGTAGGATTACAAGGAAATTATTTAATTTTATTCAACAAATGCTCATCAATTTTAAAAACTGTCTACTTTGCTAGACACCAAGGTTTATCCCTTCAACATTTGTGCAACAAACTTGCACAGAGAAAGTTCTTGACCAAAAGAGGAAACAAACAAATTTATAGAAATGTATTATAATAAATTCTATTAACAGGCAGACACCCTACAAGCAAATGAAGGATAAGGAAAACCATCTTATTCCGTTCAGGGTATAGGGAGTGGGAGTTAGGCAAGCTTTCGCAGAGAAGATAGTACTTACATGAAGTTTTGAGAGTATAACAGTGAAGAAGAGTTACTTATGAGACAAATGAGGAAATAATAATATTATTCTAGGTTATATCACATGCAAAACAAGGAACTTAGCTCAATTGGTAAAAATATAATTTATTGAGAGTATTTGCCATCACTTTTAAATGATCAGTTAGTCAATTTTTGAGAAGCTGAGAAGCCTCCAAATAACTTATATGCTTAATGTTGAACTATCTTCATGTAATTTTTAGAAATTTCACCTTGTCACTCAAATGACAGAAAGATGATTGTTAATTGCCATGTCCCCTTCACTGCTGCCAGTGACACCTCACGCTATGGAATAGTTGGCAGATAGCATGCTCATCATAGCTGCCAAGAAGTTCCAGAGCTGGAACCGGAAGATCTGCCGCTGTCATACCGATTATTTATTCTCTTCTTTTTCTTAGAAGTCATTGGTCAGGGATCACAACTACTCAACAGCCTACCAAAGTGGAAAGCATACTCAGCCTTCTGATTTCACAATCTTCCTTAGTTCTCAAATAGAACATTTAGCTGGCTAATGGATTTTTCACTTTTCAACCAGTGGTTCAGAGGTCATAGTCACAAAATGCATTTTTGCCTTGGTGGTTAACACATGGTATTGTACCAGCAGCATTCGGCCATTCAGGAATGTTATTTTCCTTTCTGAGTAGGTTACCTGGCTCCTATTCCTCTTGTTCACTGGGGAAGAAATAATTACTCATCTCCCAGCTCCTTTGATGAGTTAACAGGACATACATTGTAACCCCAGAGACCTAGACAACTCTTATTTATTTCCTTTGCAGGTCAAGGCACAGTTCTGCATGATGTGGAAGTTAAGTCACTACTTAAATTACTTCTTGTAAATAAGACTCATTAACCGTGGTGACCTGAGAACACTTTCAATTTAAGATGCTGCCCAGTGAGGAGAGGCCATAGATTAATCCTGCTGCTGCTGCAGATTCAGCTTCTCTCTGCTTTTTACTCAGACACTCACGTTTGGCTCCCTAGCTAAAAGAGAAACTCTTTCACCTTCCTCCACATCTACTTACTTCTTTTTATCTGAACCTGAGATTTGATGTTTACGTTTAAAAACAGAAAGAGGAAATGATCAAGAAATGTGGGTTTGGTGTTCTGACGAACCATGGGAAAAGGCCATAGAAATTAACTTCACAGGTGCCAAAATCCGTGGTGAGGTATCATTCTTGGGAACCACTCAGGAAAACACCTCAGCCACATAATTCTGAAATAAATATTTCAATTTTAAACTTAAAAAAATACATAATTCAATTTTTAAAGTGTCCTGAAAAATCTCTAAATGTAGAGTAATTTATTTTAATAACAATCAAACTCAACTTATATAACTTATGCATATTTTATTAGAAGAGACAAATTTTCAGAGTGGAAAAATCTTTCAAATTTCTTGTCGAAGACAGAAAATAAGGCATCTTTGTGTTTACAAAACTGATTGACACAGATGTTCTTTTTGTATATTTTAATGGACTGTATGTAATAGAAAGGTGAAATTGACCTGGAAGCCAAAATGCTTTGGACTGAGGCAAAAGAATACCACAAGTGAAAACTGGAATTACACTAACAGCAACCCTTAACTGCCATTGTCATTTCCAATCTTTTCCTGAGAATAACATGTAAAACCAGGTGTGATTCTTATAGACAGGAAAATAAAATAAAATAAGTACTTGTTTATGCTAGGACCAATTCTACAGGATTGTAAATCTATTTCTTTCCCAGTCCTCCAAAAAGTTTTTATTTGTATCAAGTTATAAAAATACCCTAGACATACCTATATGTTCTAATGCAATATTAATCTTTTACCTTTGAAAACATCCTACAACAACACCAAACACTAGGTGTAAATGAGTCACACATTTCTGGAAGTTGTGATGTAACTCCTGTCTTGGCTGGAGAAAGAAGATTTTCTGCCAAGACGATAAGAAGAGTACTTTCTGAGAGTGGTTTTATAGTGATCAGCCTTGTTGAGGGCAAAAAAATCGTGTCTAAAATGAGCATGATCAGAAAGAATATTAACTAGAAGAGGTGGATAGCATATGGTGTGTTTTCAGAGACGCTGCAAACCCCAGATTACCAATATACTTGAAATTTCCTCTATGATAGCTTCTCTTTGGGATAAATCATTATTCTTCATCTCTGGGAAGATCAAATGCTAATCCGGGAGATATTTATAAGTAGACATCAAATTCTAAATATCTGTAAGTATCAAAGTACTCATATATATGATTCCATCTTTTACCAGGTTTACCAGCGTGCCCAAGAGGCAGAATCTAAAATATATAAAATAATTGGACAATAATCACATGTTAAACAGTGTGAAACTCAGGACTGTAAAGAGCTCAGATGTAAAAAATACTATCCTGCACTAGCGTAGGCATAGGAAATTGCACTTGTAAATAATATGTAGGATTTACACAATCCAAAAAGACTAAAACCAGAATTTCAGGAAGACGAAGTAGTATTAGTGGGAGAAAAAATGGTTACAGGAACCCAGAATATATGACAGAAAGTAAGCAGACTTACTTGACCAAAATGGAGTTTTAGGAGTTAAAATGTTTTGAAAAATACTGGGAAATACAAGTCACATTCAAAGCTGGTGCTAGAGAACTCTCATGTAAACATATGGGATGATTTTAGATCTTTACACTAGTGTGTTTTGACAAAATTATCCAGAAGTGACATGGAAGAAGGATAAGACAGAGGGAGTGACCCAGAGCCAAAGTAACAAGGTAGATACTTTATACTAATCTGGACCATGATTATTATTTTCATTGTCTGGAAACCAGAACAGTGTCTGCCTCATCATAATTCTTAAATAACATTTTTTCCTTTTGAATTAATAACAAATGTACATGTCCTTCCTGAGTCACTGGGATTTTGAAAGAACCAAATTGAAAATGCTTTCAAAACCGTAAAGCACAATCCAAATATGAGTTGTCATTGTATTAAATAAAGAATAAGAGGACTAGATGTGGAAGTTAACAGTAGAGCCATCTCAAAATTTGTTAAATGAGAGAAGACAAAAGCTCGTGTCCTTGCAAAGTAGTATAAAGTGGGCTTGTTTTGATGAGATCAATGAGAAGCAAAATCTTTAGATCTCACAAGAAATAAGAGCATATCTCATGAAGATGTTTTATGGAGTAAAGCGCAGGTGAGAGATCCGAATATAAACAGAGATGAGAGTAATAGGAAATATTCACAGTTTAAGATATGCCAGGTATCATGACAATTACATTAATATTGCGTTCATGATGTTAATTGTGTCCTGTAGTTCTGACACAACTTTAAGAGGTGGATATTGTCACTTATTGTCAACATCTCCCCTAAGGTTCCAGCAGCTCTAAGAGGTGAAGTTAGGATTCATGACTAGCCAGTCTGATTCAGAGCCTATGCATGTGTCACTCCACTCAAATAGGGATGGTTATAATAGTGGGATTAAGCTCACAAAGATAATTTGATACATGCAGAGAGTAAGCCAGATCTGTAAACATGGCCTCTGTATTCACCTATTATTTAGGTTCTTAGAAAAATAAGTATCAAAAAGTCAGGGAATAAGTGCTTAGGGAAGAGGAGGGGAAAAATGAGGAGAATACGATGCCTTGAAAACCAAAATGCACTGCGTTCATTATAGCCTGCTTGTGTATAACATCCTTAACAATTATAGAGGTAATCTCTTCAGAAAGGTAGGCTAGGGAATTGGGAGACTAGACAGGTAGATCCTAATGAGCATGTAGGTTGTATAAATCAGTGGTTCTCAACTGAAGCAATTTTGCCACCCATGCAATAGTTAGCAATATCTGAGGATGCTTTTGATTTTCAAAACTTGGGTGGGGGAGTTACTACCATCTTGTGAATAGAGACCAGGAATGCTGCAAATATCCTACAATGCATAGAGGACAGCTCCATAACAGACGGTGTCCATGCCCAAATGTCAACAGAGCCAGGTTGAGAAATCTTTCTATGGATGCGTCTAAAGTCCAGGTAGCAACTCACAGAGCAAAAGTGGAGTGTAACACTGAAATACCCTGGGCATTTAGGAAAAGATTATGGAATGTGAGGGTCACAAAGTGCCAAGTCTAATGTGTTGTCTATACCAGACCTACCTTAGGCAGCTCTGGAGCTTCTGTTGGCCACATTTCTCCCTAACACTGTGTTGCTTTGCTCAGTGATATGTTCTGGTTCTGTGCCCTCACCCAAATCTCATCTTGAATTATAATTTGAATTGTAATCTCTGTGTCTTGGGGAGGCACCTTGTGGGAGGTGATTAGATCATGGAGGGGGTCGCCCCATGCTGTTCTCATGATAGTGAGTGAGTTCTCATGAGATATGCTGGTTTTATAAGGGACTTTTCCCCTTCACTCTGCACTTCTGTCTCCTGCTGCCATGTGAAAAAGGACATGTTTGCTTCCCCTTCTCCCATGATTGTAAGTTTCCTGAAGACTCCCCAGCCATGTGGAACGGTCAGTCATTTAAACCTCTTTCCTTTATAATTACCCAATTTCGGGTATTTCTTCATAGAAGCATGAAAATGAACTAGTACACTCAGCCTTAGCTGATGCTTAAAGATAATTAACTTTGTTTAGTCTCTTCAGTCTCACTGTCTGTGGCTGGCCAATATCATTCGCCATGTTTCTAGCTCATCTCTGCACTTCCTCACTGTATAGACTCCCATGCCATAAGGCAGTGTCTCTGTTCTCGAGATGATGTTGAAGGCAGCACACGTGTGCTTGCTGGACACGCAACGGGTCATTCTATAGCCTCTCGTGAGGCAGTGACCAGCATAATGATGTGGGACCTGCATTGCTCCCCATGCTATTCTGCCTCATAACCCCTACTCTTGCTATCCTGGGGTTCCACCTTCCACTGAAGTATGAGTAATAAAGCTTAGTCTCAGTCGCTGCTTTCTACAGGTCTTAGGCTAAGAAAATAGTCTTCAAATTCACCGAGGAACTTGCAAGGTATAGAATATATTCTGCATTTCAACTTCAGAATATATTGGCAGTTATTAAATACATGAAGACTCATTTTTTACATTTTAATGGTCAGGTCAACTAGCAAAGATGGAGAAAATTTAATAATTTGACAAGCTGTGAATCCCAGCGAACATATAGAAATGTTGTATTAGAATTCTAGAAAGTGATGCTTGAAAGAATGGGAAATAATGGTGGAGCTTCCCTGTTCAAATTACCAACCAGAACAGACTTAGTATGTCATTTAAAGAATATAGACTGCCCAAAACCCTCAGATATAACCTTCTTAAACAGATATTTGTAACTTCCAAAGAAGAGTATTCTGCTAGGGCCACTAAATAAGCTTGAACCAGGTTATATGAAATAATATGATAGTTCTACCATAGGTACTAGTTTCAGTAATTTCTTATTAGAAATACGGAAAGCCGTTACATCAAATATTTGCAATCAGTATTCATTCTTGTATATAAATAGGAAAATATCCTAGCATTTAAAATAGGCATTATAGAATCATCTGCTTATAGAATATATCAACTGTTGTCTTTAACATTGTTGCCATTTTACATTTCTCATTTTACTGTCTGGAATAAGGCAGTTGTTGCTTAATCTACAAACATGGTTATAGTATTCAACTATACCTGAAAGAAAATTCAGATAATCAATTTAGCTATAATAGGGGAGGATGATCCTTCACATAATTAAAGAATGATATTTGTTCCAACCATGCACAATTTTCCCCACATACCGATGCAGACTGCATTGTGCCTTTGCCCCGCAAAGACAAGATTGTCCATTGTTAAACATTATCTGTAAGTATTAATATATTAAATGTTGAGTGTTTATTCAAGTCATCTGAAAAGTCATGTGTTTTCCTGAGAAAGCCATTAATATCACTATGCTACATCTAACATAAAGGGAACATAGTCGTTGATGTTAGGACAAAACAGTCGGTGATGTTCTATCCAGGAGGAATATGCATATACAGAAAACATGATTCCTTTAAATTAATTTTGGCCAATTACTCAGAGTTAAAAAATACAAACTGCATGATAGTCCTAACAAAAATTAGCTGAGCATGGTGGTGTGCACCTGTAGTCCCAGCTGCTCTGCAGGCTGAGGCAGGAGAATTGCTTGAACTCAGGAGGCTGAGGTTGCAGTGAGCCAAGATCACGCCACTGCACTTCAGCCTGGGCGACAGAGTGAGACTCCGCCAAAAAAAAATTTAATTAATTAATTAATGATGAAGATTATCATGTTAGTTATTAGGTGTGATATTTATTGAAACTTCAGAGCATAAAACAGGATAAAAGTAAAATATTATTTTGTTATTTTTTCATATAAAGTATTGCTAGTCAGTGTGGCTTCTGAACCACCAGAATCACTCTCAGCACTACTTCTAATTTCTTTATTTCTCTAGTATATCTAACATTGATGAGTTCAAATATTTTATGTAGTTATCTCCTATTATAAACAGAGATAGATGATAGATAGATATAGATACATGTCATGAAATTTCCTCATTTATTTTAACCTTCAATTATCAATAATGATGCCTTAAAATGTTTTAGGAAGTGCAAACATTTTTTGGTATGTGTGTATATATATATATATATATATATATATATATATATATATATATATACATATAGATTTTACAAATAGACTTATACCATTTTGGAGGAAATGTTTTTTAATGTAATTTTCAGAAAATTCTATATATACTTTATTACGACTTCTGAATTAAAATCCTGGCAAAATTCTACATCTCACTTCACATTCACACATCATTATTTTTCAGAACAGACAATCTCCTTTTCATAGATTCATATAAAGCAATAACTATGAAGTGGAAAAAGTATATCTATTTAAACATGCCAAATTCAAAATAATCAAAATACTCAGGCATCCCAGGCTGAGGTGAAGAAGACCTGAACAGCAAGCAGGCTTTGTCATCAAGACCCTGCTCCCCCCATTCTGCCTCATTTCTCTATTTCTACAAGTCTGAAACATTTGGTACCCAATACCTTACTTCTCTCTCACATTTTGGCTGTGATATAATCACAAACCTTCCATCAAAATATTTTTGTAACCCACGCTTACAATGTGATAGACACAGTGAGTGACACTCTCAGCAAGGTATTTGCAGTGCCACAGATGCCAAAGTCTGAAGTTCAGGAAAACTTTCTGAAATCAGATGGAGAAAGAAAAGTTACTGATTCTTCATATTGTTGTTTTAAATTTTGTTGAATTCTATTATTTTGTTTCTGGTATGTAGGCAGATCAATTGGCCCTGAATCAATAAGACTTCATATGAAAGATACCATATCTAATTTTAAAAATAACAGTGATTAAACTGGAGAACTGAAGAAAAACACAATAAAAATGTTCTACTTTGAGACATTCAACCAGAAACAGAAAACCACGTCGCAAATCAGCAATTATTTTGCAACATTAAAATTGTGTGTTAAAATATTAGAATTACCGTCTCTTTTTTTTTCAGATTTTTTCTCAGTGTAGTCTCAGTATAAAGATGGATTTTCTATTCATTCAAATAAACAAAATTTTGATTATTCAACGATAATCTTATAAATGTTTTAAATGACATTTAAATAAATATATTTAAAAGAAAATATCAATATGTAATTAATCATAATCCTTTGCTTTGGAAACATCACAAAAGTGATTTCATTTTTCGTGTTTCTGGTAAAAAATTAAAGTCAAAATTCATGTCTAAATATTTAGAAATATCTAGTCACATGTGTGGCATATTCAAGAAGTGAAAAATATAGAATTAATCATAGATTGCATCATGAATCTTAAATTTTCATTTGTTTCCATATTTCTAATAGCCTTATTAAAGGGAAATTTTTGATTTATAATAATTGTCATTATAACCATGTCAGCTCTGAGAGCTAAGTATCCTTTTGGCATTTCAGCTATTTCCCTTTCACCTTCAAATGAATTTTATCTTGATTTTCTGGTTTATGTAGGAAGGTAGCAATATTTTAAATAGACATGACAAATATTTACTCTTTGAATGAAATCAAGATATCAATGTAGGTATGCCTTCATGCTGTAAAGTGGAATGCATGTTTGACTATGCAGAAAATAATTTTTCACACACAAATTGAACATGAGGTATTGTGACAAAATATTACCCATTTTCAAATATCTTCCTTTTTGTCCAAACACCATTCCTATTGAATCTATCAGGAAATATGTTGCATGGCTTATTTGTTGTATATTACTAATGTTTAAAACTTAAGTCTTGCTTCATATCTGGAATTTAAAAGACAATAAAACTACAAATCAGTGCATTCCAAGGATGTTTCAGCCAAACAAAAATGCAAAAACTCAAATAACCTGTTTGATTTGCTTGTTGCCACATATCCAGTTTTATTAAATGTGAACACTGCCTGGTTATATATGGATTTTTATATATAGCCCATCTTTTGAGCAGCCCAGCCTGAATAGAACAGTGTGTGTCTTCTGTACATGTGAGAATATCTATATAAGCAGGGATTTGTCACTGTGTTTTTATTAATGGAAATCATTTCTTTAGGTATAAAAATGTTAATCTCAGTTCAAATTGAACAAAATATTAATATCCACAAACTGCTAGTTGTAAAAGACAGTGGAATTTAGATTCAGTTTTCCCCAAACAATGAATGCTGAAAGTGTAAATTTATTTAAGGAAATATTGAATTCAAAGGCATGAGTTTGGGACTGGAAACACAAAAGCTGATAAAAATGTGAATGATGTAAAATAAAGCTCAGTGAATAAAATATAAATTCTCATGTTATTTATACACTACAAATTCTGGTCAGGCGCTTCTAGTTTAACTTTGTGTGGTTTTTATTTGAAAGTTGCTAACTTCTCCTTAGCATAGGAGAAGCTGCCAGATTTAAATCAGATTCTCCTTATTCTTTCCTAAGCAAGAATGCTGAAGTGCCTCCTTCAGTTGTGTACATGGAGGGAAAGTAGTGACTGTTTTCAAGGGTGATTTTGTGGCGGGACAATTTTCTGTTGAGACTTCGCTTGGGCTGTGTCTTATGTAGTGCTTGATGTAGAGTTCAAACATTTCTGGGAGACATGGGGGCATGTGGACATGAGCTCTTCTTTACCAATCCAGCTGCCACGGTCTGAATGTTTATGTTTCATCAAATTCACATATTGAAGTCCCACCTCAACAGGTGATGATCCTAGGCAGGGGGCCTTTGGGAGGTGATTAGGTCACGAGAGTGGCGCCCTCATGAATGGGGTTAGTGCTTCTTATAAAGGGGACCCTTGCCTGTTCCACCCTGTGTGAACACAGGGAAAGATGATCACCCATGAACTGGGAAATGGGCCCTCACCAGCCCCTGAATCTGCTGGTACCTTGATCTTGCATGTCCTAGCCTCCAAAACTGTGAAAAATAATTCACGTTATTTATAAGTCACGTAGTTTTTGGTGTTTTGTTACAGCAGCTCGAAGGGATTAAGATACCAGCCATTCTAGGGTGGTGAGTTTTCTTGTGGATTTTTCCACATGCAAGGATTAAACACCAGACCCACAATGGGAACCCTCATACCCACAAGGAGTGGTGAAAGAGAGTATCCTCTCTCTAGGAACCATGGTCGTGTGTTCAGAGACAGGTGCTAGCACTTGCACATAAACTGCTGCAACATGGAGAAGCTCAATGCCTGGGCAGAGAGCAACCAAGCCCAGCCCAAGATTGGTGACAGAGACGCCTCTACTTCCTTCACAACTTCCGGCAGAAACACTGTAGATCATTACTAGAGGCTGCAGGCAAAACCCAGTTGTTGGTGTCTGATGTTTATCACGGTGAAGCTGTGTCACAGAGTGGAGTCCCTGGAAGCATATGTTAGGAAAACTGTGACTTTAAACTGTGGCTTGTCCCTGGGGCTGTGCAAGTCCCCAATTTTCTGGACAATTCAATATAAGAGTTAGACAAGACCGAATGATTAAGAAAGTATGAATTCCTGCTTACTCTGGCATACAGAGGATGAAACATTAATTTGAATATTAAAAACAAATATGAATTTGCTTGTTTCCCATTCTGAAGATGTGGATATTCCATCTGTAATTATAATTATCTCAAGAAAGATACTTAGAATTTACATATTCACCTGAATTCTGTTTCTCAGTCACTTAAAGAGGGAAAGACTGAGAGCAGTGTACATATATTGAGTCCCCATTATTTCTTACCATGGTGCAGAGTTCTCACATTTTTTTCAATAGGATGTTAATTTGTTTGAATATTGTGCACAATGTCTGCCATAAATATAAGCCTGGATGGTCAGACTAAGTAAATAGATTGCAGCATTTTATTCTGTCATTTTGACACAGACACCATCAGAAATGAAGAGAGACATGATTGCATGCTGTTGCTGATGACGGTCGCTTCACCAGGACTGGCTCAGGATGTTGTCGCCTACTGTGGCAGAGCATGCGTCTTCATCCACATCACAAATACATAGGTGCTGCTACAGATCTTGCTTTCAGAAGGACATTCCTTGTGATAGAAGCTTGAGGTGGGGAAATTAGACCGTGATGAAGAGGCTGTAAGTTTGTCCTTGAAATGAGTTTTACAAAGCAACATGTTTCTCCCAGCATATTTCGGCCAATGTCGTTTCATGAATACCGTGTGTATTAGTTCCTACCCAGGCAATTGCTCTTTGAACACTGTCCCATTTTGGTTACTAATGAGTTTCTCAAGGAAAACTAGTACAGCCAGATGCTATTTACATTTTTTAAATCACAGAATGTAACTATCGGATGTGTTTGTTAATACTTTTTAAATCGGTTGAATTTTATAATGGAGATATCTGTCCGTTAATTTAGATTTCAGATAATGTTTTTACTTTGTACGCATAAATCAAGGCCTACACATTTAGCTGAATTGGTACTGAATTTCTTGTAATAATCCACTCTGAAGAGATGGAAGAGTGACTTCAAGAAGACATTTGTAAAATCAACTAAAGGAAAAAAGGTGTAGAGAGCTCAAACATTGAAAAATATTTTATTTCCTGTTCAAATTTGAGGTTTGCTATGTGTAGTTTGTGCAGATAACCTACAAAGTTAAACTATAAACCATAAAGTTTAATATCTGATTTTTAAATTTTTCAGTAATAATTTTTGTTAAAGATAAGTAAGGTTAAATATGGTGGTTCTGATGAGAGACAAGGTGGCTACTAGACTCCAGTTACCTTGGGGAAGTAACAGTGTTTAAAGATTCACTATTTCAAAGAAAAGTGCTTTGACCTCCTTATTGATTTATGCTAATTTAAGAATAGACTTTCTTGATAACTTAAGCCACTTTAATTTTGGTGTGATTTTATACTTTACAAAGAAAGGTCTTTGAACTAAAATATATTACTAAAATAATATATCCATTGTTCCATATTGTTGTCCTGTATTATTCATGGGTCACTCTACCTCTGTATATATTTGTGCTGAGGTAAAAGAAAATCTATACAGGCTTATCCTTACATTCCCTTTAGCCGAGTTTAGGAATCAGTGCCTACTAAAGAGGCCGTAGTTAATCTGCATGTGCTCTGCCTGTGTGTGTGTTTCCTCGAGTTGTAATTAGGCTGGATGTCGGCAAGAGGAGGTGGATAGCATGATGCTGGAGAGCAAAAGTGGTGACTGGTTCCTGGTCAAAAGTCCAAATATCCACAAAGATGAGAAAATTGGATCTAACAACAACTAAAGCTTATCAGTTAGAAGCTCTGTGGTACGTCATCAGGTATGACACACATAGAAAGATGATGAGATGATAGATAAATAGGCTGGCCATTTAGTCTGATATTGCTAAGTAAGCATGGGTGATTACTTTAAGTCACTTTTAATAGAAATTGTTCTAGAGTGGCCGGGCGCGGTGGCTCACGCCTGTAATCCCAGCACTTTGGGAGGCCGAGGCGGGTGGATCATGAGGTCAGGAGATGGAGACCATCCTGGCTAACAAGGTGAAACCCCGTCTCTACTAAAAATACAAAAAATTAGCCGGGTGCGGTGGCGGGCGCCTGTAGTCCCAGCTACTCGGGAGGCTGAGGCAGGAGAATGGCGTGAACCCAGGAGGCAGAGTTTGCAGTGAGCCGAGATTGCGCCACTGCACTCCAGCCTGGGCGACAGAGAGAGACTCTGGCTCAAAAAAAAAAAAAAAAAAGAAAGAAATTGTTCTAGAGTGATTTTACTACATGTATGTATATATGTTTTTAATCTTTGAAAGTTCAGATTCTAATTAAAACCTCATTTGGTATAAAACTGAGTTTTTCAGTATCTGTATTGTCATTTTAATTTTGTATGGTGCCATATTTATAGCCATGGTCAGCCAACATTCACAACATGAAATTGATTATGCCAAATAAAGAATATGTATTCTTCTTGGTTTATAAATTTAGAATATTTAAAATCAATTAATATTCCAAAATTAATTAGAATGTATTTCATAGCTCAAGAATCTCACAAATAAGGCCCTCATTACAAGAAAGACATAATGAGGTATTCTGGTGACAA
Source organism: Homo sapiens (assembly GCF_000001405.40). Classification (NCBI taxonomy): domain Eukaryota; kingdom Metazoa; phylum Chordata; class Mammalia; order Primates; family Hominidae; genus Homo; species Homo sapiens. The sequence continues at coordinate 28,865 of NW_003315957.1, forward strand.
GATAATCAGTGCATGCTCTATCGGCTTTGTACTTTGTAGCAGAATAATATTTTAGTATCCCAGGGAAATGTGTTTCTTGGGTAGGTTTTACTTATGGAAACCCAAAGGAGAGGCGTTGGTTTGTCAGGTATGAGAGAAATTAACCACATCATTGTGAGTCAGAGTCCTCGGGAAGAAAGTCTATTTTAGACTCTGAAAGAAGTTATGGCATAATTTAGACATGTACCTGAAGGGTAAAATCTTAGGAGTCCTGTGGGAGATTGTTTTCCCCAATGCCGTGATAGTCACTCTCCAAACATGGTTTCTGTCCTTCGCTTCCTCTCTGCTGGTCCCGACCCTTGCATATGTGCTGGCCCTTTTACTGCTCTGACAAATAGAATCATTTCAAAGTTTCCTGAGCCCAAGCCTTAGGATGATTGACAGAATGCACGTCCTTCCCGGAAAGCTCCTTCTTAGAATCCAGCCTCCTTGTTGGAAGTCCAAGCAGCCAAATGGAGAGGTCCCAGTGGAATTCCCAGTGAGCAACCAGCAGCCAGCACCAACTTTTAGTCATCTGACAAGGTGATCCTGGTCCTTTTTGCCATGGTAATGCTGTAGCTAACACCATCTGAAGCAGAGGACATATCTGTCCAATCTGCAGAGTTATGATATATAATACATTGTTGTCATTTAAAGCTACTAATTTTTGGTGATGTTTGTTACACAGCCAGAGATAACAAAGCATCTTTTTTCTTTATTATGATACTTTAAGCTTTAGGGTACATGTGCACAATGGGCAGGTTTGTTACATATGTATACATGTGCCATGTTGGTGTGCTGCACCCATTAACTCGTCATTTAGCATTATTCACAATAGCAAAGACTTGGAATCAACCCAAATGTCCAACAATGATAGACTGGATTAAGAAAATGTGGCACATATACACCATGGAATCCTATGCAGCCATAAAAAAAATGATGAGTTCATGTCCTTTGTAGGGACATGGATGAAGCTGGAAACAAAGCATCTTGTGTTATAAAGAATGCTCAGTTTAAACAGAGGTGTTTCAAAGGTTAGATTGTTTTGTTAAAAGAAAATTATTTCATTTATTTTGTTCATTTTTTATATTGGTCATTTACTATAATACAAACTATCTTAGGGGATTTAAAAACTCATACTAGATCGTATTCTAAGGAAGAAAAAAATTATGTAGTGATGTCCTAGATTTGAGAATCAAGCACTTCAAGAAACAGCAGTTTTGAGGGAGAGTAATCTCCAAGAAGCCCTGGGAGAGGTTCATTTAGAGAACAGAAGCAAACCCAAGAGAAGTTTTTAATTTAGAGACTTGGTAATCCCTTGATTGAGAAATATGTACATTCTGGGATACTTTTTGGTGAGGAAGGAGGAATGCAGAATTATGAGGATAATTCCAGAAGGGACAGAAAAGAAGAAAGTGGCTCATCTGTAAGGGAATTGCATTTGACATTAGTGCAGATGTGCCAGCTGTAGTGGGGTGCCTGTGTGGAGTCTGAAATTGGACCAAAAGAGAGACACATGTCTTGAAGGGAACTCTGTAATAAAGACTAAAGAAAGCTAGGAGGCCGCCAGAGAGGACCTGCTAAATCACGTGCTATATGCACTTCACTGAGGAAAGCTCCACATGGCTTTGAAGGATAAACTGCCCTCACTCACTTTTTTTTACCTCTGTAATGTATGCTTACTTTTCTCAGTTACATCTGTAAATACATATGCTTAAAGATGCATATTAAGGTGGCTTTTTATTTACATCAAACGTAAGAAATATACCATAATGTGTTCCGTCTTTTGTTTAGCAGTTCAAGTGCTAATAAAATCTGCAGCAATTTATTATTTCTCTCCTAAAAATGATGATTCACTCTTATACGTACAGAGCAAATGTAGGTTTCAACATATTTTATACTAGATAAAAATCTCTCAATAGCTTAGCCTTCCCCCAATTTGCTTTACCTGTGTCTTTACAGAATATAAAAGTATTTTGTCTGGATGAGATTTATTAACAGCCCAAATAAAATGAAATTACAAGGCACTTTACATGTCAGTGTTTTCAGTTGTACAGTCTATTTACCGGGGCAGATAAAATCTTCTCTTTCAATGAAATTTCATAAACATTATAATAGTTATATGCTGGACATAAAAATAAATTTGTAAGAGTGAAATAGACATATACTAACCGCACTATATTGTTAAAAATTAATTTTCTGAGTTTCGACATTTTTTTCAAATATATGTGCTATATTTTATTTAAAATGCCTCATCAATAGTGGTTATTCAATGAATGCTTTGAGAAGTATCATCATTTTTTTCCTTACCTTGGACCCGTGATAGCCAATAATATCTTCTGCATACAAGTGAAATTATTTTAGCTGTGATCCCTACTTAACCCCCTCTACCCACTAGTAGAAAAGCAGGCTTGACAAGGAAATTACTAGCTGGATTGATTGCAGTCTTAGAAGTTCATGTTCCAGCTTATATTTGCTAAGTGGCTGCAGGGTGAAAGGAGTGACTATAAAGTATGTAATATAAACATGATCTTCAGAAAACAAGATTACACTCACCATAAATTGTAATCCTTTACTCGTGGACCACCAGTCCTAAAACCGTTCACTTTCTATTAGTTAGAGTCCTATCATTTTTGCAGGAGTTATTTTAAATAAATGAATTTGACATTATGAAAATATTTTATTCTGATTATGTGTTCACTTGTTTAATTATATAGTTTCTTTAATACAGTATGACCTAGAGGATTTTTTTTTTTTTTTTTTGAGATGGAGTCTCGCTCTGTCACCCAGGCCAGAGTGCAGTGGTGCCATGTCTGCTTACTGCAACCTCCACCTCCCAGGCTCAGAGGGTTGTCTCGCATCAGCCTCCCAAGTAGCTGGGATTACAGGCGCCCACCACCAGGCCCAGCTAGTGTGTGTGTGTGTGTGTGTGTGTGTGTGTGTGTGTGTATTTTTAGCAGAAACGGGGTTTCACCATGTTGGCCAGACTGGTCTTGAACTCCTGACCTCAGGTAATCCACCTACCTCGGCCTCCCAAAGTGCTGGGATTACAGGCATGAGACACCGTGCCAGGCTAGAGGAAATTGTTAAAGATGTTTTTTGATACAAAATGTAAAGAGAAGTATTTTGTTTGAGACAGAAGTATGTTGAATAAATAAATAAAATCCATTCATTTTAGAATTGAGTGACAGCCCTGAGTTTCTTTCTAGGCTTGGACTAATGAAGTATACTCGATGCTAGAGAAACACACACAAAAAAGATAATTAAAGCTTTGGCCATTGAGAAGCTCATTCCTGCAATCTAGGAAATGAATATGTTACTCTGAATTTTAAAAGAGAGAGAAAGGAAGCTGATAGAGTTGCTAGCCCTTAGAAGGGATGACAGTTCTCTGGTAGTTTCTGACTTGAAGACCACTTCACAGATTTGAAACTGGAGAAACATTAACAAGATTACCATGAAATAATCAGTTGATCATTATATAATTTACTTGTCTCTATAGGGAAAACTAAGATGTCCTCAGACCTGGCCTAGGCATAGCCTGAGATTGTAAGAAAATCTTTTGTGCTACTGCTATTTGGAAAAAATAGAACATCCATCTAAGGTGTTTCAAAATGGCATCTTCTCAAGGTGGTGTTCCTTAGTTTTCTCACTTTGTGAAACAAAATCCATACTGCAACAGTCAGGCACCTCCCACTCATCTCAGCTGTCTGTGCAAACACCCAAAGAAACTGTTTAAAATAGAACTTTATAAAAATGGCCAAAGAATATGTCCAAAATGATTGAGTCCACAGGGCTTGCTATAGAATTTGGAGATGGGAAGATGAAAACTAATCTGGCAACTATATTTGGATAATTATGTCCAATTGCTTTTGGAAGTGGTAATGAGGAAGATGTCAAGATAAACATTGGTACCTATGGGAGAAAAGTCATGGACAGAGCTTCTCCTTTTTTCTTAGAATTCTGGAATTCTTCAAGTTCTGGGGTTTTCTATTTTCCATCTCAGTGATGACAGCTACATGTATTTATTTGACAACAAATATATATGCTGGTATACATACAAAGGTAGGAAGGACATATTACAATTTTAAAACTACCCCTGACTTATATTTTTCTCCAGCCGTAATAGAGGAAAGAAAAGCAAATTAATTGAACTCTTAACAAACTTCTCTATAAACTGGCCTGAGCAGGATGATCTATGACTATTTGATCTAAAATTATTTCATCTGTGTTCCTGATCAAAATTCACTGGGCATATATTCCATTTTTGGAGCTCCTTATTCTTAACTGTGCTTAGAGCTTGTAATCATTGACAATATGTCTGTCAATGTTAACAGTTGACAGCTTAATGTGTTAGCCTTCTAGTGGGTTTACATTTAAGTAAAACATTATTGCAATCATCTTTTTTTAAAATTGGAGTAAATCTTTACAATTTGAATTATTGGTTTCACCTCAATAGAGACAATGGGGAGAGAGATATGCTTTTTTAGATAGGATTTTCCAGCCACTACTTTCTATATCGTATTAAAAATTGATATAATACAGTGCTTACCAGCCACCCACCCAACAAAATTATCTTATATAATTTTGCTTGAGTACTCCAGGCCCTTTAGCATAAGTATAGAAGTAAATGTGCCATGTTATAATTCGTATTGAATTCCAATCAGCGTTTCCTCTCTGCATTGCTATCCCTTATCAGAAGAAGAGGATATTTTAGAATAAATAATCTTTAAGATTCATTAAAACTCTCAAATTCAGAGATTTCAACAGAGGCTATAATTTCATGTTCTAAAAGATGTCTTTCCAAGCTTTCTTTCCCAAATCTTGATTCTACCTATCATCTATTGCATTAGTCTTTCATTCCAGCTTTGTAAGGTAAAATTTTGATAATGCCAAATGTTGACATTCGAGGTTCTAAAATTCTGATGATCCTGTAAGTGATGATGAAAATACAAAACAAGACTTGGTCAAGGACAGAACCCTCTGGAGTTCCAACTGGACACTTGTTACAAGAAGTAGTTTCCTTTATTCCAAGAATATTAGAAATCTATACATTTTAACCACATAGCAACTCCAGTGTAGCTACATGTTACAAATAGGAAAATTGAAGTTCACAGAATTTAAGCAAATTTTTAAAGAAATCTCAGTAAGCGTTAGACTAGGGATTCAAATTCAGATCTTCTCTACTACAAAGATTAAGATGTTTCTAGAACACAAATAGTTTATTATTTGTTCCATTGAGATTCATCTCAGGTGGAAATAGACAGGCTGTGACTGGAAGACCTAGAAGGGAGACATCTCTATAAATCACCCCTTCACTAATCAATTAGTTCTACTTTCAACATATATAATACATAAATAAATTATATATATATAATCTCTTTATTAATTAAAGCTTTAATGTGTTGAAAAGGATCTATCTGTTAAAAGTCACATCAGTCAAATATCTTACTCAATATCCAGATTTTTCACAATTTCAAGGACACAAGTAATTACAAAATGGGTCTGGGACTCCCAGTGCACATCCACAGAGCCATCCTCCCCACAGAGGGCAGTAGCCTAGGCTGTTTTTCAAGGTCCTTAAGTAATACGAGCAGTCACATCACTGACACACAAAATACAGATTTGGATAATTAAACAGCTCGGTTTTATACTTGGAAGATCAAATAATTTACCTACATTTTCCAGACTGCCAGGCTTCATCAGTCCATGCACTTCAAGACCTCACACAAATTTTACAAATCCTACGTAAAGCTTTCTATAAATTCATTCTGTAGGTTGCGATGAAAATACAAAACAAGACTTGGTCAAAGACAGAACGTTCTGAGATTCCAACTGGACACTTGCTATAAGAATTAGTTTTCTATGCTCCAGGAGATATGTTAGAACGTTTAAATTTTAACCACATAGCAATTCCAGTGTAACTACATGTTACAATTTGTAAAATTGAAGTTAGTGAATAGTTTGTTAGTAAATACTTTTCAGTAAATAGTAAATAGTTTTTAGTGCATTTGTCAGTTTGGTCAAGAGCAAGTTTCCAAGGAATTTAACCGGGTCACCCCGTTTTGTTCTTTCCCAGGGAAATTTCTTCCCCTGTAAAGAGACAAATCGGGAACTTCCACGGTGCTTCTTAGCACTTTCTTCCCAGTTTCTAAAGCTGAAGTAAAAATGTGAAAACCGTCAATATCTACAGATTACATAAAACCTTTAATCAGCACTCATTTAGCCAATTAAGCCTTGAAGTTTTAATATTATTACTTTTATTTAACCCATTTTTCATCCTCTTGTCAGACTTGTCCACCAAATATAAATGTTTTTCCAAATGAAATATAATTCTTTTTCAATATTTTTATGTCTAAGTGTTTCAGCATTTTCTATGAATAGCAGAGGAATATGGATTAAATTATTAATACAATATAATAGTTATCATTAGCTAGTACAACTCATCAAAATATTCTCACACTATCCATTTGATAAGTTCTAGAAATTTTCCATAATTTGGCATCAGCCTATATTTTCAAGAATATTTTCTTTCTCCCCTCTAACAATTGGGATATTACTTTACTTCCAGTCTATGAGCATACCTACTATTCTGTAAAAATTTCAAAAGTGGTGGTAGCTCAGTTATAAATCTTCAATTTTGCTTAATGCCATGACATATAATTAGACTATATCCAGTTGAACCTATTCACTAAAAAGATAAATGTATTCTTGTTATTTTCTTAATCTTTTCCCCGTTTGCCCCAAGAATATTTGCAAGCAATGATTGCAGCTGCACCTGAGATAATTTTGCCACAAAATATCTCACTTTTATTGTTATTTTCATATCACTCTAGTATATTGACATTGGAAACAAAAGACATCATTCTATTTCTAGCATTCTGTTTTTAGTAGTGATATGTCCTTTTACAAAATGTAGTAATTTTCAATTGCTGAAAATGTCAAATCCTAGTAAACGTAGCAATCCCACCCATGACGTTAACATATTTCTCTAACACTTGTTGGCAGAAGATTTGTTTGAAAAATCAGATTTTTTTTCAAAGTAGATGATTCTGATGATTCAGATGATTCTGATGTCAGTTTTGATTAGAAATAACTCCAAGAACAGTTTTTATATTTTATTTTCATGTTGAAAATCAGTCAGATTTACTTCAGCCTCAAAGAATGTGTTTATGTAAAATTAAATGAGTGCTGACAGCATGCTGCATCTTTATTTTTCTCAACAGGAAAATGGTTAACTACCTTAGGCTACAACTTCCATATTTTTAAAAATTTTGGTTTGATTGTTTTATTTAATATGAAAGGAATATTCCCACATAAAGAATAAGAAATGCACAAAGTTTTTCTTATTTAATTGCTTTTTAATCCAAGAACCATTGATTTTTCCCCATATTTCTAAAATGACAATATATAGTACAAATTCATCGGAAGGTCACATATACAGATATACTGTTGTTTTATAATTGTTACTGTTGCTGTTTTTCTTACTATTTTCTACTTTTCACTTTTGTAATTTTTGCTGTTTTATACATACACACACATATATGTGTAACATCATATATATATTTATAAAACGTGTGTATATGTGCACATGTGTGTCTGTGTGTGGATTCTTACAGAATCCTGACTTTTTGGTATCATTTACTGGGCTACTTGGATAACTGTTTTTAGCTGAATCGCTTGTGTCTTCCAGTTTGCTAAAAGTGAGTCTAAAATGGTTATTTTACTTTTTTCTTTTTTATTTATTTATTAATTATTATTATTATTATTTTTTGAGATGGAGTCTTGCTCTATTGTGCACGCTGGAGTGCAGTGGCATAATCTTGGCTCACTGCAACCTCTGCCTCCAGAGTTCAAGTGATTCTCCTGCCTCAGCCTCCTAAGTAGCTGGGATTACAGGTGCACACCACTACGTCCAGCTAAATTTGTACTTTTAGTAGAGATGGGGTTTCACTGTGTTGGCCAGGCTGGTCTCGAACTCATGACCTCAAATGATCCACCTGCCTCGGCCTCACAAAGTGGTGGGATTACAGGCATGAGCCACAGCGCCCAGCTTAAAGTGGTTCTTTCTTTCTTTTTTTTTTTTTGAGATGGAGTCTCGCACTGTCACCCAGGTTGGAGTGCAGTTGCGCAATCTTGGCTCACTGCAACCTCTGCCTCCCAGGTTCAAACGGTTCTCCTGCTTCAGCCTCCTGAGTAGATGGGATTACAGGTACCCGCCACCACACTCGGCTAATTTTTTGTATTTTTAGTAAAGATGGGGTTTCACTATGTTGGCCAGGCTGGTTTCGAATGCCTGACCTTAAGATCCACCAGCCTTGGCCTCCCAAAGTGCTGGGATTACAGGCGTGAGCCAGCGTGCCCGGCCTGAAGTAGTTCTTAAGTACAGTGTTTATTTATATGTCCAGGCTGCTCATACCCCCATAAGATGTTTTCAAGATACAATTCCATTGTCTTTTATACACTTGTCTCATGTCATAACACCTATTTTATCTGTGGTGTACTTTTTGATACAACATTAAGAAAATTTAGTTTTTTTTTTAATTTGTCATTTGCAATAGTCTGATAAGCAAAAATTTTTGTGATGATAAACATCTCTATATTTTTTTTTCTACAGTAACATTGAGAAATTAGTACTCATACTGACATTTGCCTTAAGTTTTCATTAGGTACAAAGCAACACATCAGCCTATTACTATATGGACAGGTCTTTATAACTCTTCCATCACAAAAGCAAAGTAGTGTTGATGCTGGATTGTATCTAGTGTCCTTGATACTGTGTACTCAGCACGTTTGTGAGTATTTTAGCGATTCATTTCTAAGACGACAAAAGGAAAAGGTAGAGATGAGACAGAGAAAAAGAAAACAAATATTTTTTAAGTTATCAAAGTTTGAGTATAAGCTTAACTTGGTATAATTGAAAAAATGTAATGTGGAATGGCAGGACTAAGACAATGATTTAGGTAAGGTGTAAACTGATTTGGCTGAAAATATATCAAAACTCTTCAATTTTGTTGAAACATGCTTTACACATCTAACTAAAGAATTTTAAGTACTTATATTTTGTATTATCTGGGCCATTACAATTATAGTGAATTAAACCTTATGAGTTATATTCATACATATGAAATATAAATTTAGAAAATATTAAAATATTAGTGTATATAATTTTAATAGAAAAAAGTAATACAAGGTTTCATTTAATAAAATAATGAACAAAAATTTATTCTTGCAAGGATACTTTACTGCTATTTGATGACAGACATTGGTGTGTAGTTGAAACAATTGACATAAACGATGCATTTTTTATTCCTTTGAGAATATAAGATTTTACCCATGTAACTGATATGAGCGAATTCAAAACAAGGTGATATGTCTGGTAAAGAATAGAAAATATTAAAGTTCTTCGTTAAAATATCCTGTGATATTAATATAAATATCTTATATTTTAGAAAGTTAACCAGTTTTTGTTTTTACAAGCAAAGTTTCAGAAGTTCAGAAATTTTTTACAATGTTCAGGAATAACAAATACACCTCAGACTTCTGTCAACTCTAAGATTAGCTCATGTATTGCTCATATGTTATGAGGCATATTAGTCATCCTATTGATGAATCAGTACTCTAACCTTATGGTAAGCTGAATTTTCTATGAGTTGCATTGATTGGACAGTATCATTAATCTGAATGGTTATACATCCTTAATTCAATTGCCAACTCATTAAATGAGCCTAAGCACTAATTCCACTTAACTTCATTGTGATTAGCAATCATATACTTTTAAAAATGTTCTTTGTGCATACAGCAAAAACCACTTTGGGATAAAGTAATGGTTAGGAGACAACAGCAACAAGCACAAAGCTTTATAGTTTTATTTCAAACATCTTTAAAGCAACTAGAGGTTTATATCTTGGTCACAACCTCTCTCTGTGGTTGACTGCAATAGGCTAAAGGATTTCAGCAAACCTTACTCTCAAAGAGGGCATCAGATAATGAGAGTGAGAAAATCACAAATGGCAAAGCCAGTCTGAAATTCAGGCTTGCGTGTGTGCTAGGCTCTTGTGGTTAACCGACCAAGTTTCAGTTATAAGTTATGTGAGAGAAAGTTATCATTTACACTAGAGTAATAAATCTACTTTGTCTCTGACTCTCTTTCCTCCCTAATCCATCACTCCCCATTACAGGAAAAAGAAAAGATTACTGAAGAAATTCAAAGTCATATATTTAAAACAATCTATTACATTTTTTTGATGGGGACTTTTCTTAAGGTTTGCAGGGAAGATGAGCCAAATGCTTAAAAACAAGCCTCTGATAATCTTCTTCTCTATTAATTAATTAATTATAAAGCTAACTTTAAGACACCAATATTGCTAAATAAACAAATGATTCAGCAAGTTTTTAATTTTAATATTATCTTTCTCTAACTTGTTTTTTAAATAATTATAATTATATATTTATTCAATTATTACTTTATGCAAGATATTATTCCCCATGTTTTTAAAAAATTATTACTGTGGTAACAACTTCATGAGATTTTCCCTCTTCACAAAATTTTAAGTGCACAATATGGTATTGCTAACTGTAGACACAATGTTATATGGCAGATCTTTATAACTTATTCATCTTTAAAAACTGAAATCTTGTATCTATTGAACAGCAGCTGCCGGTTTCTCCTTCTCCCTAGGCCCTGGAAAACACCATTCTACTTTGCTTCCTATGAGTTTGATTAAGTGGAATCAACAAATCACAAAGAAAGACAGAGAGAAAAAGAGACACAAATAATTACAAAAGACATTGAAAACTATTAATAAAATGACAATGAGTTTTAAGCTATCAATAATTACTATAAATAAAATGGATTAAACTCTCTAATAAATAGATAGAGTGGGTGAATGGATAAAGAAATAAGATCCAGCGATATGCTGTCTACAAGAGACTCACTTTAGAATCAAAGACATGCATAAGCTGAAACTGAAGGTATAAAAAAAATTATTCCATGCAAATGATGACCAAGAGATAGTAAGAATGGCTACACTTAAATTAGACAAAATAGACTTCTTGTTAAGAACTGTCACAAGATACAGAGAAGGTCTACATAACCCTGTCATCTGTATAAGGAACAGCATAATAATAAAATTAATAATCCATCAGGAAGATAGAATTATAAATATATCTATAAATATGTAAGCACCCAACATCAAACACCTAAATATATAAAGCAAACATTGAAAGATCTGAAAGAACAAATTGGCAGTACTACAATAATAAGAGACTTCAATACCCTACTTTCAACAATCAATAGAACATTCAAAAAAAATCAATAAGAAAAAAGTGGACTTGAACAACACTATACACTAAGTGGATCTAACAGACATCTGCAGAGCACTGTAACCAATAGCAGAAGAAAACACATTCTTCTCAAGTGAACACGTTCCAGGATAGCATACATATTAGGTCACAAAACAAGTTTCAACAAATTTAAGAAGATTGACATCTTACCAAGTATTTTTTCAACCACGATAAAATAAAACTAGAAATTAATAGCAGAAGAAAACTAAAAAATTCACAAATATGTGGAAATTTAACAATAAGGTTTTTAAAAATCAAAAGGGAAATTTCCAAAGTATCTTGAGACAAATGAAAATGAAAAGACAACATACCAAAACTTATGGGATGCCACCAAAGCAGTACCAAGAGGAAAGTTTACATAATAAATATATATCTTAAAAAAGAAAACATCTCTAACTCATTCTAATTCCAAACAATGGATTAGGAAATGAATTTAAAATGAAGGAAAATTAGTTACACAAGCCACACAAGTAATAAAACAGTTAAATGAGAAAATCTTAGGAACCTAATCCACCAGACAAGAATATGCGTAGCAGAAGCAAGTCTTTGGAGAGAGAAGAAACAGTGCTTGATGGTAAGAGAGTCTTTCCATACTACTCAGGTAGTTGATGAGGAAAATGAAAAATCAAGTCATATTTGGAAGAGCAAACTATTTGAATATATACTATGTATTTTGTTGTTGCTCTTATGTATGTAGTAATTTACAAACATTTTCAAGCATTGTTAGAGAAAGGCATCTAAAAAAACAGTAAATTTACCCATGGCCAATTTGGAAAGAAGAGATCATGAACTCTTATGATTTACAAATCACTGACTCTGGTACATCCTATTTATATTATTTACATCTATTAAGATGTAAATAATACTTCAGTGTATGCTGGTTAATTAGGATCTATCTTAAAGTTTGGATAAAAAGAGATGAAATATTCTGAGGGGAGAAATGAACATATTTGGCATACAGTCAGTATTTGTTGAATAATTATAGTATCCAAAAGATGTTATTGGTCAGATCGTATTATAACAACAGAAATCTGACCCACATACTCTGTAGCTCTGTCCAGAAAGCCAAACCACTGCTTTTGCAGCAATCAACCCAGAATAGTCAGGACTGTCAGCTCCCCTGTTCTTTTGTCCTTCTTGCAAGCCAGGACCAACTAGAGAAAAACAAGTGTAATTTCAAACCTAACACAAAATGCCCAGCTTCCAGTTAGCTCACCTCCAGCTTCTGCATGCAAACAACCTCTGATCAGAGTGTATTAGAACCATTACTTTTTGTTGCTGTTGTTCACTCAATGTATTTCCTTCCAACATGCATCCTTTGAGTCTCTGCCAATCACAAGTGGCTGACTCCCTTGCTATGGCAAGCTCTGAATATATATTATCTGCTGCTGTCATTTGGATGGTCTTTTTTTTCTTCCATATCTGTAATCAGTTACTCCTTTTATTAGGTTTGCTTTGCAAAGAAATACAATAGTTGGTTTGGAGCATAGAAGGTGTATAAATCTGTTAACCTAATGCAATGGAATCTATAGTCCTGAGCTTCCCTGCAGTGATTGAATAGCTATCACAAGCAGTCCCAGGCAGTTTAGGATAGATAATTTTTCTTGGTTGAGTTATAAACATTTTAATTATCTCCTAAATTTTATATTGTCTCATTTTTTAGTTATGAACTCCATCTTGAATAAAAGTTTCCTTTTTTCTCAGTTATTTAAATGGCTCTGAATTATCCTGTGCTTAGCCATACATCAATAACAAATATAATAATCTGTGCTATTCAAAATATTTAGAGAATGGGCAATTATTATATGCTACATGTTTTTGTCAATAAGATATCCCACTTCCCCTATACCGCATACAATTTAATCATTCTCAATGATTGAGAAGGCATTTCCAAATTTGTCTTTTTTTCAGAATTCATGTTCAAAATGTGACTACCAATTCTAGTAGTTGCATAAAAGTGCAAAATATATTTTAAAAAACTATAGAAATCCCTGCAACAGAGAGGGAATGCAACATTGTTTGCAAATACATGGCTAAGGGATCTAGTGATCAGATCAGATGAGAAGTAAATCTCCAAAAAATCTTAACAGTGCTTTAAGCAGCACAAAAGGTTACTGAACAGTGGTGCATCTGAACCACTTCAGATAGGTAACATCTCTGTGAGCTTCTCAGCATGCATATGAAGACCAACAAGGACAGTGATACCAGATTAAGCAATGCTAATACTAAGATGACAACAATATCACATTAACAGCCACTATCATAGCTATTACAGCTTCTGTGTCTAAAAGAACAAGTAAATAGCAGGAGATGATAAAGGAGTTTTTCTCATATCATTATGCAAAAAATATATATGAACACAATCTAACATAGCATAATGTATTTTACATATAAGAAAATAATTTTAATTATTTTTAACAAATGTTAGCGTTTACTTCTCTTTCTTCACTGAAGTTGTAAAATAAAATAACATGGTAGAAAACCTCGTATTTAAACAATGTCAAGTGTAAAAATGGAAAAGTGGAGCATAAGCTTTCCCATCACTGAACCATATAATATGGGTGCCTTCCTTCCCAGGCAATTGCTTGACATTAGGTAGTCATTAAATACAACCGAAATTCTGCTCCTTAATGCTAAGTGTTCTTCACTGCAGGAAATACTATCCAAGCCAGAAGACAGGCAGTGCTCTCAACCTAAATTGCAGCCGACATTAACATGGGATTACATTCAGAGACATTTATTTTATAGTACAGTATATTGCTTTAAACATAATTTCAGGCCACAATTTAAAAACACACATATGGTATAGTTCTCATTAAAATGTCATCATCTAAATAAACCAGGGTGGGAACAGACATTCATGGGGGATGTGATCATGAGGAAAGGGGAAGCAGGGAATGTGGACCAAGTATAGGAGATTTTTGTGGTCTAACGGAGATTAAAAGCTACTCTATCTGTAAATGTGCTGATTCAAATCATACAATTTTATTGTAGAATGAAAATACCTTAATAGCTCCAGGTATATAAATGGAAAAAAGGTGAAGCTATGACATCTGTCTTCTCCATATCATTGATTGACAATGGAAAATTAATCATGTGGTATTTTCTAAAAGCAAGAGAATTATACAGTTATAGATCTACCTAATTCCACTTCTTTTTTCTCTTTTTAGACACATAGTAAAATGACACATTACAGCCTCCCTGAGTTCTGGTGGAAGGAATGTAAGCAGATACTATATCTGCTTACTTACCCATGCTAGGTCACAACAGTTGTCTGTAACCCTCCAGCTCCATTTCTTTCTTTCTTTGAGACAGAGTTTTGCTCTTGTCACCCAGCCTGAAGTGCAGTGGTGTGATCTCGGCTCACTGCAACCCCCGCCTCCCGGGTTCAAGCGATTCTCCTGCCTCAGCCTCCCCAGTAGCTGGGATTATAGGCACCCACCACAACGCCTGGCTAATTTTTTTTGTATTTTTAGTAGAGATGGGGTTTCACCATGTTGGTCAGGCTGGTCTCGAACTCCTGACCTGAGGTGATCCGCCTGCCTCGGCCTCCCAAAGTGCTGGGATTACAGGCGCGAGCCACCATACCTGGCCCCCTCCAGCTCCATTTCTATGCCATCGAGACCCTGGACACCATATGCTGAGGTGACTGCAACACAAGGCAATGGGGTTGGCTATCCAGGAGGAATGTGCACCTGGGGAGACAAGTAAAACCTTCTTGTTGATCCACTAAAATAATTGTAATTATTATGTTACTGCCACATAGTCTAATCTATAGTATAAATTAGATCATGGAAACCTCTACCTTGCATATTTGCAACTTCTTTTAAATAGGCATTTCACAACCTCATGTTATTTTAACATGTAGAATTTACACTAAGTTGTAGTTAGGTAAAACCCTGAAAACAGAAAAATTGCTTTTATAGATTCTTTATGCATCAAAATGTAATTATATACCTAAGAAGACTGATGATTTAATGAAATAAAACTATCTTTTATTAAACTTTCATTATCTAGAGGTTCTTGTGACAGATATTCAAAGATAATTTTCATAGAAAACATTCAAGAAACTGCTTATAATGTGATGGAAATAAAACCACCAAAGTAATTATGTATATTCAAATCATCTTTATTTTCAGGCTCCACGATTACGGGATAATTCATTTTAAAAACTAGAATATTAGAAATACACCCGTGACTTACAGGAAAAAAGTGGAAGGAACTGCTTTTGAATTTGACACAAAGGAAAGCCAAGTCTTCAAGTATATTGAGTTTATTTTCCATCATTTAAATAATATATTAGATGTAAGTCTTTCGAGAGTCCATCTACAGTAACAGAAAATATACCTTCCATGAGCTGAAAACCATTGTTTCAAAATTATAATACCCGTTGTTAATATTGAATAACTACCGTGTGCCTGGAAATGTGATTAGTGCTATAGTATTTATTTCTTTCCTTATTTATTATAAAACGGTGGCTGCCAGGATCGGTTAAGGGAAAACTTTATCTGTAGTTCTCTGTAAAATATATGCATTATGAATTCAAAGTACTACCATAATATAATCTTTACCATATTTGTATAGAATTCTGATTTGTTTTAAATTTCTTCTAGGCCAGGTGTGGTGGCTCATGCCTGTAATCCCAGCACTTTGGGAAGCCAAGGGAGGAGGATCACTTGAACCCAGGTGCTCGAGACCAGCCTGGGTAACATGGAGAAACCCCATCTCTGCAAAAAATACAAAAAATTAGCTGGGCATGGTGGTACGCACCTGTAGACCCAGTGACTCAGGAGGCTGAGACAGGAAGATCACCTAATCCTAGGAGATGGAGGCTGCAGTGAGCCATCATGGTGCCACTGCACTCCAGCCTGGATGATGCTCTAGAGTGAGAACCTGTCTCAAAATAAATAAATAAATAAATTTGTTCTAAAATTATAGTATCTGAGATCTTTAAAGCCTGTAAAAGATAATTGAAGTAATGATGTTAAGTATTATCAATGCATCAACTTAAAATACGCATCAAGACGTAAACAAACTAACCCAACAGAGCTTAGGTTGTCTACAGTTACATCTCAGCTACTGGCAAACACCATGTTTGAGCTACAGTCTTATTTGTGATCCACCACTTGTTCTTTACAGCTAGCTGCCTACTGTAGAAAATACTCTAATTTCATACTTTCTGTTGGCATTTACACTAATAAAGCCTACATTTTAATTAAAAATATTTTGATAGCCTCATAAAAACTGTGAGAAGATATCTTATACAAAAGATTTCCAAAAGTGAAGAATTTTTTGACCACATAAAAAAAAATGTTGGTGATTAAAAATGCCTAAAATACCAAATATATATTTAATATATTAATATAAGTAATATTAAGATGTATTTCATTGCCTAAAATAAGGCTTCAATGTTTATTTTGAAACAACTGTGTTACCCCAAAAATATGATTATTCCATAAATAATGACATCTTTAAACAGTGGGCTTGCTTTTCACAGATCATTAGATCAACTTGCTTGAAAATAACTTCTTATAAACTAAAACAATATTATCATATTCATGACTGGCAAGAAGGGAAACAATTTGATTTGGAAATTTCATTCAACTTTATCCATTGTGAACCTTGAAAAAACTATTGAGTGAGCAGAGAAAAGTGTATGAGTGAATAAATGCATTTGTTCCACTTTTCTTTCAATCATTTATTAAAGAATATTAACTTAAAAAGGGAAAGAATTAGAGTATCTTTTGAAGGATTGAAGCTCAAGAAAAGTGAATGCTTTGGACTGAATATGTCCCCGCCCAAATTCATATGTGGAAGCCCTAACCCCGAATGTGATAGCATTTGAAGGTAGGACCTTTGGGGGTGATTAGGTTAAGGTGCGATCATCAGTGTAGAGCTCCCATTATAAGAGTGGAGCTTTTATAAGAAGAGGAAAAGATCAGAGTGCTCTCTCTCTCTTTACCGTGTGAGGACCCAGCAAGATGTGGCTACCTGCAAATCAAGAAGAGCCCCTGGCCGGGCGCAGTGGCTCACGCCTGTAATCCCAGCACTTTGGGAGGCTGAGGCGGGTGGATCACGAGGTCAGGAGATAGAGACCATCCTGGCTAACACAGTGAAACCCTGTCTCTACTAAAAATACAAAAAATTAGCCTGGCGTGGTGGCGGGCGCCTGTAGTCCCAGCTACTCGGGAGGCTGAGGCAGAAGAATGGCGTGAACCCGGGAGGTGGAGCTTGCAGTGAGCCGAGATCGTGCCACCCGCACTCCAGCCTGGGCCACAGAGCAAGACTCCGTCTCAAAAAAAAAAAAAAAAAAAAAAAACAGAGCCCTCACCTGACACCAAATCTGTTGGCACCTTTATCGTGGACTTCCCAACCTCCAGAACTATCAGAAATAAGTGTTTGTTGTTCAAGCTCCCAGTACCTTGTATTTTGTTACAGCAGCCTAAACTGATTAAGACAGTGGGGAACTGTTAAGACAATGCTTTGTTCTTTCAATAAATATACTTTAACTTCACATTACTAGGAAAAGGTTATTCACCATAACAGGAAATGTAAATCTTTAAGAGAAATTAGGAAATTATTAATATAACAGAAAACTGAAAGAGAAATATCACTATTTTCAAAAGAAAGAGTTTAGATATTCTTTCCTTCTTTTGAAAATAGTGATTCAGCACACTGATTTGATGTTATTTGGTGAGAAACTTAAAGTTACATGCCTTCTAAAGAATGTATCCTGAAACATTAGCACCCCTGAGAGCGTTGAGGGAGAATGTACCCAGAGTTTTCTCTGGTAAACTTGGTGTTAGAAATTCCATATATTATGCAAACTGTGTAATCACAGTAGACATATACCATAAACAATATAAGAAATTCTGTTAAGGAACATTCTCTTAAATATATATGATGTATTATATTATTAAATATATAAACACATTTGTTTACATATGAAAAATTTATACGCACACAGAAACACACAATCAACCCATCATATCCTAGGGTTCCACATCCACTGATTCAACCAACTACTGACTGAAAATATTTGAAAAAATAATAATGCAACAACAAAAAGTAATACAAATTTTAAAACAATACAATATAACAACTATTTAAATTTCATTAACATTGCGTTAGGTATTATAAGTAATCTAGAGTTTATGGAAGGATGCCAATATGAGGGATTTGAGTGTCTGAAGATTTTCATATCTGCTGGAAGCAATCCGCCTTAGATACAGAGGAACAACTGAATATTCCTTTGTTGGTTTATTTATGCTGGTTTTTAGTGATTTCCAACTCTTGTTTCATGATTGACACACCTTTTTTTAATTAACTCAACCACTTTTAAATCTAACTTTCCTCACCTCCACCCCATCAGCTATGGCTGGAGAAAAACAATCACCAATCATGCTAAATGGCTTTACTTTAAGTTCACAGCAATCAGCCTCAATTAGTCCCTTGTCATTGACAATCTTTTTTTTTTAAATTTTTTTTATTATTATACTTTAAGTTTTAGGGTACATGTGCACATTGTGCAGGTTAGTTACATATGTATACATGTGCCATGCTGGTGTGCTGCACCCACTAACTCGTCTAACTGCACCCACTAACACACTAATACATCTAGCATTAGGTATATCTCCCAGTGCTATCCCTCCCCCCTCCCCCCACCCCACAACAGTCCCCAGAGTGTGATGTTCCCCTTCCTGTGTCCATGTGATCTCATTGTTCAATTCCCACCTATGAGTGAGAATATGCGGTGTTTGGTTTTTTGTTCTTGCGATAGTTTACTGAGAATGATGGTTTCCAATTTCATCCATGTCCTTACAAAGGACATGAACTCATTTTTTATGGCTGCATAGTATTCCATGGTGTATATGTGCCACATTTTCTTAATCCAGTCTATCATTGTTGGACATTTGGGTTGGTTCCAAGTCTTTGCTATTGTGAATAATGCCGCAATAAACATACGTGTGCATGTGTCTTTATAGCAGCATGATTTATAGTCATTTGGGTATATACCCAGTAATGCGATAGCTGGGTCAAATTGTATTTCTAGTTCTAGATCCCTGAGGAATCGCCACACTGACTTCCACAATGGTTGATCTAGTTTACAGTCCCACCAACAGTGTAAAAGTGTTCCTATTTCTCCACATCCTCTCCAGCACCTGTTGTTTCCTGACTTTTTAATGATTGCCATTCTAACTGGTGCGAGATGGTATCTCATATTGATGGGACATATTTCAAAATAATAAGAGCTATCTATGACAAACCCACAGCCAATATCATACTGAATGGGCAAAAACTGGAAGCATTCCCTTTGAAAACTGGCACAAGACAGGGATGCCCTCTCTCACCACTCCTATTCAACATAGTGTTGGAAGTTCTGGCCAGGGCAATTAGGCAGGAGAAGGAAATAAAGGGTATTCAATTAGGAAAAGAGGAAGTCAAATTGTCCCTGTTTGCAGATGACATGATTGTATATCTAGAAAACCCCATTGTCTCAGCCCAAAATCTCCTTAAGCTGATAAGCAACTTCAGCAAAGTCTCAGGATACAAAATCAATGTGCAAAAATCACAAGCATTCCTATACACCAACAACAGACAAACAGAGAGCCAAATCATGAGTGAACTCCCATTCACAATTGCTTCAAAGAGAATAAAATACCTAGGAATCCAACTTACAAGGGATGTGAAGGACCTCTTCAAGGAGAACTACAAACCACTGCTCAAGGAAATAAAAGAGGATACAAACAAATGGAAGAACATTCCATGCTCATGGATAGGAAGAATCAATATCGTGAAAATGGCCATACTGCCCAAGGTAATTTACAGATTCAATGCCATCCCCATCAAGCTACCAATGCCTTTCTTCACAGAATTGGGAGAAACTACTTTAAAGTTCATATGGAACCAAAAAAGAGTCCGCATCGCCAAGTCAATCCTAAGCCAAAAGAACAAAGCTGGAGGCATCACACTACCTGACTTCAAACTATACTACAAGGCTACAGTAACCAAAACAGCATGGTACTGGTACCAAAACAGAGATATAGATCAATGGAACAGAACAGAGCCCTCAGAAATAACGCCGCATATCTACAACTATCTGATCTTTGACAAACCTGAGAAAAACAAGCAATGGGGAAAGGATTCCCTATTTAATAAATGGTCATTGACAATCTTAAAACCTACTTATTGTCTTTCCACTCCCCAAGTAACCCGAAGAATATGTCAAGGCTTCTCTTCTCCCCACAAACAGACAATAACCCTCCTGCAACTCCTCCTCACTCTCAACTGAAAACCAGGAAGTATCCAAAGAGAATTGCCAAGCATTCCCCACACAGTCCTACTGTCCACCTGCATCTGTGCCTCTATCTTCTGTCTCACCTCCTGATTGGATTGGTTACCTCATGTGCTTCCAACCGAGGCAGTTCCCTATTGTGCCCCAGATTTGATCCATTGCTGACTACTCAGTGATTTTGCACCCATAATTTTCTCCTTCCTTCTCTTCTGCAGCCATCAGTGGAAAATTTGTCTTTTATACCATTTTAATCAGCATGGAAACATAACGTGGAACCTGACAGCATTAAAAATAGAAGGCTACAAATTGGGTTCAGTGTATATTGCTTGGGTGATGGGTGCACCAAAATCTCACAAATCACATGAGTAAAGAATTTACTCATGTAACCAAATACCACCTGTTCCCACAAAACCTATGGATATAAAAAATAAAATTAAAAAATAACATAAATAAATAAACAAAGTCTCCTTTGGCCCCTAATTCCTCTCCAGTTACCACTCCATTTCCTCCAGTTTACAGAAAAATTCATTAAAGAGCTGACTATACTTACTGCCTCCTAACATGAGGTGCCTTGTGAAACTCTCAGCAGAGACCTTAGTGGAGCCCACCTGGACTCATGATCTACCGAGCTGTGAGATAATGGGTGATGCTTTAAGCTGCTAAATTTGCGGCGATTTGTTTTGCAGCAACAGAAAACTAATGCAAGTGGGGGAAGAACTGTAGTTTTTAAAGGTATAGCTGTGGAGGAGACATGAGAACCATCTTTACAAAGCTGAAGGACCTAATTTGGTGGATATTTGGGTAAGAAGGTTCTAGGCAGAGAGTCAGCCAGTGCAAGGGAATAGGGCCAAAGCCAGGAAGCTGGAGGATGAGCTTGGAGGCCAATGTGGCTGGAACAGAATGAGCAGGGGAAAGCCGGGAGAGAAGGGAGCAAAAGAGGCATCCGGGGCAGATCATGTAGAGCCTGAGAGGTCGTTCTAAAGACTTCAAATTTTCACTAGGTGAAATGGGAAAACAACCCAGGATTTTGTGGTGGAGAAACGTGGCTGCCTTTGTATAACTACCGTATTGCACAGGAGCATGATAGAAGCAGGGAGAGCAATGATAGAAGCAGGGAGAGCAATGATAGAAGCAGGGAGAGCAATTGCAGTAACTCAGGTGTGAAGGAGATTGCATCATGGTAGGAGCAGAGGAGGTGGAGAGAAGTGTGTTGGAATGTGAAAAATTAATCACTGACATTTGAAATTCAACCAAACAGAAGTGGCTCACTGCAGGCAAAGTAATGACTGGGTGGTGTTGCTTTGATCTCATGCAGGATAGTGGTGATTAATACTATATGTCCACTTTGCTGGGTGACAGTGCCCAGGTATTTGGTCAAAGATTATTCTATATGTTTTTGTGAAGGTACTTTTTAGGTGAAAATAACATTTAAATCAGTAGACTTTGAGTAAAGCAGATTGCCCTCCATAATGTGGGTGGGGCTCATTCAATCTGTTGAAGGCCTTAATAGAAAAAGACTCACCTCTGCCTCAGAAGTGGGAATTCTGCCAGTAGACAGCCTTTGGATGGAAATTGCAGCATCAGCTCTTCCCTGTGTTTCCAGCCTGCTGGCCTACCCCGCAGATTTTAGAGGTCACCAGCCTCCACAACTATGTGAGGCAATCTCTTAAAATAATCCCACTTTCTAAACACACACACACACACACACACACACACACACACACACACATTCTGCTATTTTTGTTTCTGTGGGGCACTCTGACTAATACAAGGGTCTTTGGTACACTGCAGATGGGGGCATCTGAATAGGCTGGAAACAATGAAAACCTTACCCTAAGTTCTTGCCATGTGTCAGATCTGGGCTAGTTTCCCCGGAGACGGAAGGAAGAAAAAGAGGAAGAGAAGATCCCTGTCCAACTTCGACACACCATTCTGTCATTTTGGAAGCACTACTTAACAACCTAGATTTCAGGATCTTTGTCTAAAAATGGGCATATGACTAACCTCTCACAGTTACTGAGAAAATTAAATGCTTATAAAGTATCTAGTCATGTGCCAGGCTCGAATTGGGCTCTTAACAAATGACAGTATTATTATTACTGTCTCCCATTCAAAGGGCATTTTGTGGCTGTCATGACTGTTAATAGTACAGGTGATGAAGTGATAATAATAACTTACAGTGATTTGACTCATGTAACATTTTAAAGCACTTGCATATATTATTTTATGATGCCACTGGTAAGCTGTGTAGATTATTGTGCTTCTAATATCAATGGAAACCAGGAAAATGTTACATACTTTTATACTCAATCAAGTCTAGGGAAGTATCTGTCTGTAGGTGTAAATCTGGCACTCTGCATAGTGTGGATGAAAATTTATTTGGCTTTTGTGATACGTAATTGTAGTTGAAATAATTATTGCATCAGAAGCCAATAAAATACCCATGGAAAATTGTTTTCAAAAAGCATACATAATTGTTGTAGGAATATTTAAAGAAAAATCTGTAACCTTTTTATTGAATTTTTAAAATAAATAAACATAAGTTTTATGTATCTTAGCACCTGGTTGTGCGTATATTGTGTCTGTCTTTAATGGAACTTTACAAAATTTCATCAAAAACAATGTCAAATTTTCTTTAGGGATTTTCAAAGAGTTTTGCACTAGAAACTGTTTCATTATATTTTAGTTGTTTTCCCAAAGAATACACTGGGGGGAGGAGCCAAGATGGCCAAATAGGAACAGCTCTGGTCTACAGCTCCCAGCGTGACCGACACAGAAGACGGGTGATTTCTGCATTTCCATCTGAGGTACCGGGTTCATCTCACTAGGGAGTGCCAGACAGTGGGCGCAGGTCAGTGGGAGTGCGCACCGTGCGAGAGCCGAAGCAGGGCGAGGCATTGCCTCACTCGGGAAGCACAAGGGGTCAGGGAGTTCCCTTTCCGAGTCACAGAAAGGGGTGACGGACGGCACCTGGAAAATCGAGTCACTCCCACCAGAATACTGCGCTTTTCCGACAGGCTTAAAAAACGGCGCACCACGAGACTATATCCCACACCTGGCTCGGAGGGTCCTACGCCCACGGAGTCTCGCTGATTGCTAGCACAGCAGTCTGAGATCAAACTGCAAGGCGGCAGCGAGGCTGGGGGAGGGGCGCCCGCCATTGCCCAGGCTTGCTTAGGTAAACAAAGCAGCCGGGAAGCTCGAACTGGGTGGAGCCCACCACAGCTCAAGGAGGCCTGCCTGCCTCTGTAGGCTCCACCTCTGGGGGCAGGGCACAGACAAACAAAAAGACAGCAGTAACCTCTGCAGACCTAAATGTCCCTGTCTGACAGCTTTGAAGGGAGCAGTGGTTCTCCCAGCACGCAGCTGGAGATCTGAGAACGGGCAGACTGCCTCCTCAAGTGGGTCCCTGACCCCTGACCCCCGAGCAGCCTAACTGGGAGGCCCCCACTAGCAGGGGCACACTGACACCTCACACGGCAGGGTATTCCAACAGACCTGCAGCTGAGGGTCCTGTCTGTTAGAAGGAAAACTAACAAACAGAAAGGACATCCACACCAAAAACCCATCTGTACATCACCATCATCAAAGACCAAATGTAGATAAAACCACAAAGATGGGGAAAAAACAGAACAGAAAAACTGGAAGCTCTAAAAATCAGAGCGCCTCTCCTCCTCCAAAGGAACGCAGCTCCTCACCAGCAACAGAACAAAGCTGGATGGAGAATGACTTTGACGAGCTGAGAGAAGAAGGCTTCAGACGATCAAATTACTCAGAGCTACGGGAGGACATTCAAACCAAAGGCAAAGAAGTTGAAAACTTTGAAAAAAATTTAGAAGAATGTATAACTAGAATAACCAATACAGAGAAGTGCTTAAAGGAGCTGATGGAGCTGAAAACCAAGGCTCAAGAGCTACGTGAAGAATGCAGAAGCCTCAGGAGCCAATGTGATCAACTGGAAGAAAGGGTGTCAGCAATGGAAGATGAAATGAATGAAATGAAGCGAGAAGGGAAGTTTAGAGAAAAAAGAATAAAAAGAAATGAGCAAAGCCTCCAAGAAACATGGGACTATGTGAAAAGACCAAATCTACATCTGATTGGTGTACCTGAAAGTGATGGGGAGAATGGAATCAAGTTGGAAAACACTCTGCAGGATATTATCCAGGAGAACTTCCCCAATCTAGCAAGGCAGGCCAACGTTCAGATTCAGGAAATACAGAGAACGCCACAAAGATAATCCTCGAGAATAGTAACTCCAAGACACATAATTGTCAGATTCACCAAAGTTGAAATGAAGGAAAAAATATTAAGGGCAGCCAGAGAGAAAGGCCGGGTTACCCTCAAAGGGAAGCCCATCAGACGAACAGCGGATCTTTCAGCAGAAACCCTACAAGCCAGAAGAGAGTGGGGGCCAATATTCAACATTCTTAAAGAAAAGAATTTTCAACCCAGAATTTCATATCCAGCCAAACTAAGCTTCATAAGTGAAGGAGAAATAAAATACTTTATAGACAAGCAAATGCTGAGAGATTTTGTGACCACCACACCTGCCCTAAAAGAGCTCCTGAAGGAAGTGCTAAACATGGGAAGGAACAACCAGTACCAGCCGCTGCAAAATCATGCCAAAATGTAAAGACCATCGAGACTAGGAAGAAACTGCATCAACTAAAGAGCAAAATCACCAGCTAACATCATAATGACAGGATCAAATTCACACATAACAATATTAACTTTAAATGTAAATGGACTAAATGCTCCAATTAAAAGACACAGACTGGCAAATTGGATAAAGAGTCAAGACCCATCAATGTGCTGTATTCAGGAAACCCATCTCACGTGCAGAGACACACATAGGCTCAAAATAAAAGGATGGAGGAAGATCTACCAAGCCAATGGAAAACAAAAAAAGGCAGGGGTTGCAATCCTAGTCTCTGATAAAACAGACTTTAAACCAACAAAGATCAAAAGAGACAAAGAAGGCCATTACATAATGGTAAAGGGATCAATTCAACAAGAAGAGCTAACTATCCTAAATATATATGCACCCAATACAGGAGCACCCAGATTCATAAAGCAAGTCCTGAGTGACCTACAAAGAGACTTAGACTCCCACACAATAATAATGGGAGACTTTAACACCCCACTGTCAACATTAGACAGATCAACGAGACAGAAAGTCAACAAGGATACCCAGGAATTGAACTCAGCTCTGCACCAAGCGGACCTAATAGACATCTACAGAACTCTCCACCCCAAATCAACAGAATATACATTTTTTTCAGCACGACACCACACCTATTCCAAAATTGACCACATACTTGGAAGTAAAGCTCTCCTCAGCAAATGTGAAAGAACAGAAATTATAACAAACTATCTCTCAGACCACAGTGCAATCAAACTAGAACTCAGGATTAAGAATCTCAGTCAAAGCTGCTCAACTACATGGAAACTGAACAACCTGCTCCTGAATGACTACTGGGTACATAACGAAATGAAGGCAGAAATAAAGATGTTCTTTGAAACCAACGAGAACAAAGACACAACATACGAGAATCTCTGGGACACATTCAAAGCAGTGTGTAGAGGGAAATTTATAGCACTAAATGCCCACAAGAGAAAGCAGGAAAGATCCAAAATTGACACCCTAACATCACAATTAAAATAATTAGAAAAGCAAGAGCAAACACATTCAAAAGCTAGCAGAAGGCAAGAAATAACTAAAATCAGAGCAGGACTCAAGGAAATAGAGACACAAAAAACCCTTCAAAAAATCAATGAATCCAGGAGCTGGTTTTTTGAAAGGATCAACAAAATTGATAGACCACTAGCAAGACTAATAAAGAAAAAAAGAGAGAAGAATCAAATAGACACAATAAAAAATGATAGAAGGGATATCACCACCGATCCCACAGAAATACAAACTACCATCAGAGAATACTACAAACATCTCTACGCAAATAAACTAGAAAATCTAGAAGAAATGGATAAATTCCTCGACACATACACTCTCCCAAGACTAAACCAGGAAGAAGTTGAATCTCTTAATAGACCAATAACAGGAGCTGAAATTGTGGCAATAATCAATAGCTTACCAACCAAAAAGAGTCCAGGACCAGATGGATTCACAGCCGAATTCTACCAGAGGTACAAGGAGGAACTGGTACCATTCCTTCTGAAACTATTCCAATCAATAGAAAAAGAGGGAATCCTCCCTAACTCATTTTATGAGGCCAGCATCATTCTGATACCAAAGCCGGGCAGAGACACAACAAAAAAAGAGAATTTTAGACCAATATCCTTGATGAACATTGATGCAAAAATCCTCAATAAAATACTGGCAAACCGAATCCAGCAGCTCATCAAAAAGCTTATCCACCATGATCAAGTGGGCTTCATCCCTGGGATGCAAGGCTGGTTCAATATACGCAAATCAATAAATGTAATCCAGCATATAAACAGAGCCAAAGACAAAAACCACATGATTATCTCAATAGATGCAGAAAAAGCCTTTGACAAAATTCAACAACCCTTCATGCTAAAAACTCTCAATAAATTAGGTATTGATGGGACGTATTTCAAAATAATAAGAGCTATCTATGACAAACCCACAGCCAATATCATACTGAATGGGCAAAAACTGGAAGCATTCCCTTTGAAAACTGGCACAAGACACGGATGCCCTCTCTCACCACTCCTATTCAACATAGTGTTGGAAGTTCTGGCCAGGGCAATCAGGCAGGAGAAGGAAATAAAAGGTATTCAATTAGGAAAAGAGGAAGTCAAATTGTCCCTGTTTGCAGACGACATGATTGTATATCTAGAAAACCCCACTGTCTCAGCCAAAATCTCCTTAAGCTGATAAGCAACTTCAGCAAAGTCTCAGGATACAAAATCAATGTACAAAAATCACAAGCATTCTTATACACCAACAACAGACAAACAGAGAGCCAAATCATGAGTGAACTCCCATTCACAATTGCTTCAAAGAGAATAAAATACCTAGGAATCCAACTTACAAGGGATGTGAAGGACCTTTTCAAGGAGAACTACAAACCACTGCTCAAGGAAATAAAAGAGGATACAAACAAATGGAAGAACATTCCATGCTCATGGATAGGAAGAATCAATATCATGAAAATGGCCATACTGCCCAAGGTAATTTACCGATTCATTGCCATCCCCATCAAGCTACCAATGACTTTCTTCACAGAATTGGAAAAAACTACTTTAAAGTTCATATGGAACCAAAAAAGAGTCCGCATCGCCAAGTCAATCCTAAGCCAAAAGAACAAAGCTGGAGGCATCACACTACCTGACTTCAAACTATACTACAAGGCTACAGTAATCAAAACAGCATGGTACTGGTACCAAAACAGAGATATAGATCAATGGAACAGAACAGAGCCCTCAGAAATAACGCCGCATACCTACAACTGTCTGATCTTTGACAAACCTGAGAAAAACAAGAAATGGGGAAAGGATTCCCTATTTAATAAATGGTGCTGGGAAAACTGGCTAGCCATATGTAGAAAGCTGAAACTGGATCCCTTCCTTACACCTTATACAAAAATCAATTCAAGATGGATTAAAGATTTAAACGTTAGACCTAAAACCATAAAAACCCTAGAAGAAAACCTAGGCATTACCATTCAGGACATAGGCATGGGCAAGGACTTCATGTCCAAAACACCAAAAGCAATGGCAACAAAAGACAAAATTGACAAATGGGATCTAATTAAACTAAAGAGCTTCTGCACAGCAAAAGAAACTACCATCAGAGTGAACAGGCAACCTACAAAATGGGAGAAAATTTTCGCAACCTACTCATCTGACAAAGGGCTAATATCCAGAATCTACAATGAACTCAAACAAATTTACAAGAAAAAAACAAACAACCCCATCAAAAAGTGGGCAAAGGACATGAACAGACACTTCTCAAAAGAAGACATTTATGCAGCCAAAAAACACATGAAAAAATGCTCATCATCACTGGCCATCAGAGAAATGCAAATCAAAACCACTATGAGATACCATCTCACACCAGTTAGAATGGCAATCATTAAAAAGTCAGGAAACAACAGGTGCTGGAGAGGATGTGGTGAAATAGGAACACTTTTACACTGTTGGTGGGACTGTAAACTAGTTCAACCATTGTGCAAGTCAGTGTGGCGATTCCTCAGGGATCTAGAACTAGAAATACCATTTGACCCAGCCATCCCATTACTGGGTATATACCCAAATGACTATAAATCATGCTGCTATAAAGACACATGCACACGTATGTTTATTGCGGCACTATTCACAATAGCAAAGACTTGGAACCAACCCAAATGTCCAACAATGATAGACTGGATTAAGAAAATGTGGCACATATACACCATGGAATACTATGCAGCCATAAAAAATGATGAGTTCATGTCCTTTGTAGGGACATGGATGAAATCGGAAATCATCATTCTCAGTAAACTATCGCAAGAACAAAAAACCAAACACCGCATATTCTCACTCATAGGTGGGAATTGAACAATGAGATCAGATGGACACAGGAAGGGGAATATCACACTCTGGGGACTGTGGTGGGGTGGGGGGAGGGGGGAGGGATAGCATTGGGAGATATACCTAATGCTAGATGACGAGTTAGTGGGTGCAGCGCACCAGCATGGCACATGTATACATATGTAACTAACCTGCACAATGTGCACATGTACCATAAAACTTAAAGTATAATTAAAAAAAAAAAGGAACAAGAGAAAAAAACACTAAATAAAGTAAAAAAAAAAAAAAAGAATACACTGATTTTCTTTAATACTAACTTTAATGGAAAAGACTAAATAGGATTAATAATAATGGCAACACCTGCTGAGTACACAATAGGTAGCCAGCAAAAAGATAAAGATTTTACAGGATTGCCCATGTGTACATCACTACAGGCCTATGAATAAAATATTTTGGCTTATTTTTCAAATGGCTACACGGAGGTCTAAGACAGTCAAATGTTTATCCAAAGGTTTTGCAGCTTGTACAGCACAGCTGTATTTAAACTCGTATCTAACCATAATAGCGAAGTCAGTAATTCTCAAGTTTCATTTCATGAAAGATACTAGAAATATTGCTAAAATGCAGATTCCTAGAACTACACCAGACCCCCTTGGATCAGAAGTTGTGAGAATGGGGCCTAGGAATTTATGTCTCTAATATGTAACTCAGGTAGTCACCCAGCTATGGGTGTTTGGGGGATCGACAACTTGGTAAACACTATACTGCTTGGTGATGAATCATTAAGCTATTTTTAAAGTAAAAAAACTTTTTAAAAATGTGCTCATGGTAAATCTTTGTCAATGAAAGAATTCAAAATTCTGTCCCTACTATTGTATTAAATATGTGTTACTGTTTTAGGAAAGAAACTATTGGGGACATCTTGAAGTATCTCTCCTCAGCTTCAGCCGAGATTAATGCATGCCACAGGATTTAGCTCTTTTTTTCTATATTCACCTTCTAAGGTTTTGTGGATATACAGGGCTAGACTGACCTACTTCGGAGAGACCTAATCCAACTTGAAAGAGCACCTACATCCTTGTGCACTTTTCTTTTTTTTAAGACGAAGGTACTTCTCATCGTATACCTTCTAGTACCATTTTTATGTTCTAATATTCAAGGCTACTTACATCTAAAATGCCATGGGAGCTTCAAAATATATTTGTGTTGCACATGTATCCACTAGTAAATTCAGTATATCAGTATATTATCATTAATGCAAAAAAATAGCTGGGGGGTAGAGTATGTGAGGACGTTTAATGTTTAGGGTGTTATAAGAATAGCTAAGTATTATATGAGTGTTTTAAGAAGCATAATTATTAATTATCTGACTAGCATTGTTTAATATCCATTTTAAGTGACTTATTTATTCTAAATCAATATTATTCTAGCTAACATATTTGATTTGATGGGTTTTTTCCCCAAGAATTACTTGATTAATCTCTGTTTGACTTTGCAAAATTATATTTGTATGTTAAATTTTTAGCTATTAATGTCATTGGTGCAAGTAATTGTTTTATATTAAAAGAGAGAGAGAATTTTATTTGTTTTTAATGAATAAATTATAGCACTGTCTTGTTTTAAAATAATCAATCAATAATTTTGAGGAGTTTTTTTATCCTCAAAATAAATTCATAGGGATAAATGGTAGCTTTTTGTAAATAAACTGGTATTCAAAGGACTGATATGACTTGCCCGAGATCACACAAGCAAAGGTCCAACTTGGACGACATTTGGGTCTGTGGACTTCTTGTTTAGTGGTGTGTTATTAGTTTTGTCCGGTAGCCTATGCTAAAGTCTATTTCCAGAATGTGTATCTATATGCACTGATGTCTATGCATGCGGTACATTTTGGAGGGTACTATGACATTGGCTTTTTCAAATCACTTCCCCAAAGGGTTTGTCTGAGATTCATACAATCCAGCTCACTATTCTGTCCTACCTGCCACTGAACAGAATTGCTGGATGGTAGTCTATCTCTTGGGCTCACTGCCGGGGCCCTGTTGAGTAGGGATTTTCAAGGGCAGAGTGGAACTTAGGAAAGCAATGTCTGTGCTATTGGAAGAGCCGGCTGTAGTGTTGGAGCAGTTGTGTGTGGGCAGCCCCCAGGCATAAAAGTCCTGGAGGGGTGGAGGTGAGCACAGAAGGGAAGCTTAAGGGGCCAGGGCACCCTTAAATACTGTGTAGCCCTGACTGGGACCAGTCTGGTCTTTCTGTTGCAAACCACTCCTGCTTTAGTTTGTCCTCACAAGAATATCTGGGTGTGCCTCAATCTTTAAATTGATTGTAATTAATTGATGAATTAATGTTTAACATTTATAGCATTCTCCAAGTTTAAACTGCATAAATGTGTCAGTTACCATTACATTTCTTTTGTTGTTATACTGAAACTTAAATGTCAACCTAAGAGAAACACAAAAAGCAAATATTAAAATAACAAAAACAAAAAAATCTATAAAAGACGGTCATTGGGTATTTAGTGAGAAGTATATATTTTCCTTCTGAGAGATGAGAATGAAATACAATAATTTTCTGGCGATCACCAGCCAGTGGCTGTTCCAGGACTTGCAGTGAAGTCTCCTGAATCAGATGCTCCGTCCACTTTCTCTCCACTATGCTCCTTCTCACATCTATGTCAAGCTGAGTTATGTTTTCAATAAAAATCACCAAAGCATTAAAATTTTAAAGCCATCTGTCACTACCAATGCTTATTTTTGTCAGCATCAAAGCTATACTTGAAAACATTCAAAAGTCTATCTGCATTCTCTCTGACGGATCCAGAAAAATCAAGAATTCTAAAGCCAGACTGCTTAGATGTGGGCCATGCTACTTCCATTTATAACTTGTGTGACCTTGGGCTGGTTACCTGGTCTCTTAGTGCTTCAGTTTCCTATCTGTGAAAAGAAGATCATGATAATAATGTCCACATTGGTTTATCGTGAGGAGTCATGGAGGTATAGGTTAAACACTCAGGACTTACCAAATAGTAACTCCCATAGACGTGCTCCTTATAAACATGATATGGTATCTGGCAAAAAAAAAAAAAAAAAAAAAAAAAAAAAAGTGCATGAAATGTTAAAGGAGATTATCCTCTCGGTTGGAGTCAAACTGCTCCCACTATTATTCGGAATACAGTTATTTGGGAGACATTAAGTACTGCTGCGAATTCAAGCACTTACTTCTGTTTGAGCTATGGAAACAGTTTCCATGCATAATATAGATATATCCTTTTAAATAATTTACCAGACAATTTATTGTCTTGAAAGAAACATAAAAATATGTGAAATAGTAGAAACCCCATATATCCCTTCTATTTGGAAGTTTAAGAGTAGAGATTTAAGAAATGTTTAGTCTCCTTTTTTCTCTGATGGGCACATGTCTCTAGCTTAGGGATCATTCTGTAATTTTAAATTTTGTTGCCTTTAGGAAACACAAGGGCAGAGTGTCGTATTGTGAATACAGAGGAGAAGAACTCTATGTGTGGAGTTACTTGCTGACAACCTAGAATGAGATCTCTCTGGAGGCCAGTTAGCCATTTGCTTGATATTAGGTTCACTGATTTCAGTTTTTATCTCATTAGTGGATATGACCACACCAAAGAGTTGTAGAGTTGAACTAAACAAAACAAAGCAACAACAACAACAGGAAACACCACCTAAAAATTCCCTTATGACCTTGCCCCTGCTTTTCATTCCCAACTCACTTCTAAACCACGTCTCCTTGGTCAGTCCACTCCAGACCTATCGACTTCCTTTTCATTTTTTAAACATGCTAATTTTTTTCTAACCTCAGCATTTTTGCACTTGGTCTTCCCTCTGACTGAGAAGATTTTCCCCTGGATCTTCACACGTTGTTTTCTTTTTCTTACATTATTCAGGTCTTCACTGAGACTCAACCTGAAGCAGCCTAGCTCTTAAGATGTGTTTCTCTCACTGGGAGATGAATTCGACACTTCACACGATATCAAGAACACCACGAGGGCAAACCCAGCTTTCTGTGACTTCACAGACGGTGGCGCCAGCAGGGAAAGCAATTCCATCGCTACAACATGGCTGTATTCTAGGGAGGAAATCGTCATCATTTTGGGATGACAGAGGCCTCATGCCATCCACCTGTCATCAGGTGTCAGGCTACTCTACCCAGGAATAATCCTATATTGGGGAGTGATATGGTTTGTCTGTGTCCCCACCCGAATCTGAACTTGAATTGTATCTACCAGAATTCTCACGTGTTGTGGAAGGGACCCAGGGGGAGGTCATTTAATCACGGGGGCCAGTCTTTCTGGTGCTATTCTCATGCTAGTCAATAAGTCTCACAAGATCTGATGGGTTTATCAGGGGTTTCCGCTTTGGCTTATTCCTCATTTTTCCTCTTGATGCCACCATGTAAGAAGTACTTTTCACTTCCTGCCATGATTCTGAGACCTCCCCAGTCAAGTAGAACTGTAAGTTCAATTAAATCTCTTTTTCTTCCCAATCTAAGGTATGTCTTTATCAGCAGTGTGAAAATGGACTAATACAGTAAATTGGTACCAGTAGAGTGGGGCACTGCTGAAAAGATACCCAAAAATGTGGAAGCGACTTTGAAACTGGGTAACAGGCAGAGGCTGGAAGAGTTTGGAGGGCTCAGAAGAAACAGGAAAATGTGGGAAAATTTAGAACTTCCTAGAGACTTGCTGAATGGCTTTGCCCAAAATACTGATAGCAATATGGACAATAAAGTTCAGGCTGAGTTGGTCTCAGATAGAGATGAAGAACTTGTTGGGAACTGGAGCAAAGGTGACTCTTGTTATGTTTTAGCAAAGAGACTGGCTGCATTTTGTCCCTGTCCTAGAGATTTGTGAAGCTTTGAACTTAAGAGAGATGATTTAGGGTATCTAGAAGAAGAAATTTCTAAGCAGCAAAGCATTCAAGGGGTGACTTGGGTGCTGTTAAAGGCATTCAATTTTATAAGGGAAGCAGAGCATAAAAGTTTGGAAAATTTGCAGCCTGACAATGCAATAAAAAATAAAAACCTATTTTCTGAGAATGAATTCAAGCCAGCTGCAGAAATTTACATAAGTAACGAGGAGCCAAATATTAATCCCCAAATCAACTGGGAAAATGTCTCTAGGGCATGTCAGAGATCTTCATGGCAGCCCCTCCCATCACAGGCCAGGAGGCCTAGGAGAAAATGGTTTCAGGGCCGGGACCAGGGTCCCTGTGCTATGTGCAGCCTAGGGATTTGGTGCCCTCTGTCCCAGCTGCTCCAGCCATGGCTGAAAGGGGCCAACACAGATCTTGGGCCATGGCTCAATCTTGTTTCTTCCAAGTTCCTGACCACCCCCAGCCAAACCATTAGCAATAGCCTTATAAGTTATTATAAATTAGTGCTTCTGTCCACCTTTCACTCCAGAAATATTGGACCATCAAATGTACTCGATGTTCTTCCTGCTGGGAAAATTTTCCTTCATCTCTGGCCTTCATGTTCACCCCCAAGTACTTCTACAGTGCTGCAGCTACTCCTGTTAGAGTAGTGCCAGTAGATCATGGAAAACCATCTATAAAACAGGCTTGAGTGTGTGGTTTCCCAGCTATTTACCATAAACTAGACAGCCACAGACTTGGATTGGGAGTGAAGAGACCATGAAACGGTGGTTTGTGTTGAAAGAGTCTGAACTACCTGTTCTTGCAACTTATTTGTACCTTCAGGGCCTGCTTGAGGTCAGTCATTTACCTCACTGCATTCGATGATAGCTTGCTACCCTAGGCACCCAAACGTATGCCTAGGTGGGTCAAACAACAGCCACTCAGTGATGGAAGCTCAGGTCATACGGTCACCCTGGTTAAGTGTCCAGTTTCCACAAGACCCAGTAGCAAGCCAAAAGTTGTATCCCAAAAAGAAAATTGTTATTTGCAGAAAAGAGCACACATTTGTTCCAGTATCCTCAAGGTTCATGCGGTGACTCTATTGGTGCTTGCCAGAGGCTCCATACAGCCTCTCTGTTTGCATCAGACACCTGGGGTATTGCTGGTGCTGCTGGCATGATACAGAAGCTTGTTCTGCAGCCTGAACTTGCTGCAGAGCCTTCTCTAGCTCCAGGCCTCGCTCACAGCAGGTAGCTGTGTGGGTTACTCTACAGATATGGGTTGGAGTAACACACTCAAATATGGCATGTATTGCCTGCAAAAATGACATCTTCATTTTTCTAATGAGGCACTTTGTATAGATTCTATCAAAATAATTATTTTTAAGTCTACAGAATTTATAAGCATGTATTTCTAGAAAATATACTATACTGTTTAAATGACTATATTGAAAACCTCAAAAATTCCTTCCAACATTAAAATTACATAATTCAAAAAATAATTTTGGGGTCAACGATATTATTTTCAAAATTATTATTGATAGAGCATTCTATTCTATGCATATTCTTATATTCTCATAAATGATTAGTAAGCTTATGTTAAATAGCATAAGAAAGGTCATTTAAATCAAGGAGACATGATTTTTTTCTGGTAGAAATTTTCCAAATGTATAGCATTTCATTTGGAAAACAAATCTGCATTTAAATCTGCTTTAAAATAGACAAGTAACTAAAAAAGGTAATTATATTAACTATATATTATATGAAACCTAGTAATTTGTATCCTAATTTTACATGTCTATAGCTTCTCCAGGATAAACCTGAATGTGTTCAAAGTTATATACTTACAAACCGTTTCTTTTTTTAAAGAGAGAGAGAGTCTCACTCTAGTGCCTGGGCTGGAGTGCAATGGCACAATCATAGCTCACTGCAGCCTCAATCTCCTGGGCTCAAGAGATTCTCCCACCTCAAGCCCACCATGCTTGGCTAATTTTTAAATTTTTTATAGAGATGGGGTCTTTCGATATTCCTCGGGCTGGTCTTGAAATTTTGGACTCAAGTACTCTTCCCACCTTGGCCTTCCAAAGTGTTAGGATTACAGGCATGAGTCACTGCTCTTGGCCTATAAACCAGCATTTTAAAGTTTTATTTTCTAGGTAGAATGTGTAGGTAAAGCAATGCTTTTACGGTGTATATATTGGTTTATAATATATATTTGTCGGAGGAGCCAAGATGGCCGAATAAGAACAGCTCTGGTCTACAGCTCCCAGCCTGAGCGACGCAGAAGACGGGTGATTTCTGCATTTCCATCTGAGGTACCGGGTTCATCTCACTAGGGAGTGCCAGACAGTGGGCGCAGGTCAGTGTGTGCGCGCACCGTGCGCGAGCCGAAGCAGGGCGAGGCATTGCCTCACCTGGGAAGCGCAAGGGGTCAGGGAGTTCCCTTTCTGAGTCAAAGAAAGGGGTGACGGACGCACCTGGAAAATCGCGTCACTCCCACCCGAATATTGCGCTTTTCAGACCGGCTTAAGAAACGGCGCACCACGAGACTATATCCCACACCTGGCTCAGAGGGTCCTACGCCCACGGAATCTCGCTGATTGCTAGCACAGCAGTCTGAGATCAAACTGCAAGGCGGCAACGAGGCTGGGGGAGGGGCGCCCGCCATTGCCCAGGCTTGCTTAGGTAAACAAAGCAGCCGGGAAGCTCGAACTGGGTGGAGCCCACCACAACTCAAGGAGGCCTGCCTGCCTCTGTAGGCTCCACCTCTGGGGGCAGGGCACAGACAAACAAAAAGACAGCAGTAACCTCTGCAGACTTAAGTGTCCCTGTCTGACAGCTTTGAAGAGAGCAGTGGTTCTCCCAGCACGCAGCTGGAGATCTGAGAACGGGCAGACTGCCTCCTCAAGTGGGTCCCTGAACCCTGACCCCCGAGCAGCCTAACTGGGAGGCACCCCCCAGCAGGGGCACACTGACACCTCACACGGCAGGGTATTCCAACAGACCTGCAGCTGAGGGTCCTGTCTGTTAGAAGGAAAACTAA
The DNA here is from genome assembly GCF_000001405.40 of Homo sapiens. NCBI lineage: Eukaryota > Metazoa > Chordata > Mammalia > Primates > Hominidae > Homo > Homo sapiens. Next base: position 65,945 of record NW_003315957.1, read on the forward strand.
CAACCAGAAAGGACATCTACACCGAAAACCCATCTGTACATCACCATCATCAAAGACCAAAAGTAGATAAAACCACAAAGATGGGGAAAAAACAGAACAGAAAAACTGGAAACTCTAAAACGCAGAGCGCCTCTCCTCCTCCAAAGGAATGCAGTTCCTCACCAGCAACGGAACAAAGCTGGATGGAGAATGATTTTGACGAGCTGAGAGAAGAAGGCTTCAGACGATCAAATTACTCTGAGCTACGGGAGGACATTCAAACCAAAGGCAAAGAAGTTGAAAACTTTGAAAAAAATTTAGAAGAATGTATAACTAGAATAACCAATACAGAGAAGTGCTTAAAGGAGCTGATGGAGCTGAAAACCAAGGCTCGAGAGCTACGTGAAGAATGCAGAAGCCTCAGGAGCCGATGCGATCAACTGGAAGAAAGGGTATCAGCGATGGAAGATGAAATGAATGAAATGAAGCGAGAAGGGAAGTTTAGAGAAAAAAGAATAAAAAGAAATGAGCAAAGCCTCCAAGAAATATGGGACTATGTGAAAAGACCAAATCTACGTCTGATTGATGTACCTGAAAGTGATGTGGAGAATGGAACAAAGTTGGAAAACACTCTGCAGGATATTATCCAGGAGAACTTCCCCAATCTAGCAAGGCAAGCCAACGTTCAGATTCAGGAAATACAGAGAACGCCACAAAGATACTCCTCAAGAAGAGCAACTCCAAGACACATAATTGTCAGATTCACCAAAGTTGAAATGAAGGAAAAAATGTTAAGGGCAGCCAGAGAGAAAGGCCGGGTTACCCTCAAAGGAAAGCCCATCAGACTAACAGCGGATCTCTCGGCAGAAACCCTACAAGCCAGAAGAGAGTGGGGGCCAATATTCAACATTCTTAAAGAAAAGAATTTTCAACCCAGAATTTCATATCCAGCCAAACTAAGCTTCATAAGTGAAGGAGAAATAAAATACTTTATAGACAAGCAAATGCTGAGAGATTTTGTCACCACCAGGCCTGCCCTAAAAGAGCTCCTGAAGGAAGCGCTAAACATGGAAAGGAACAACCGGTACCAGCCGCTGCAAAATCATGCCAAAATGTAAAGACCATCGAGAGTAGGAAGAAACTGCATCAACTAAAGAGCAAAATCACCAGCTAACATCATAATGACAGGATCAAATTCACACATAACAATATTAACTTTAAATATAAATGGACTAAATTCTTCAATTAAAAGACACAGACTGGCAAGTTGGATAAAGAGTCAAGACCCATCAGTGTGCTGTATTCAGGAAACCCATCTCACGTGCAGAGACACACATAGGCTCAAAATAAAAGGATGGAGGAAGATCTACCAAGCCAATGGAAAACAAAAAAAGGCAGGGGTTGCAATCCTAGTCTCTGATAAAACAGACTTTAAACCAACAAAGATCAAAAGAGACAAAGAAGGCCATTACATAATGGTAAAGGGATCAATTCAACAAGAGGAGCTAACTATCCTAAATATTTATGCACCCAATACAGGAGCACCCAGATTCATAAAGCAAGTCCTGAGTGACCTACAAAGAGACTTAGACTCCCACACATTAATAATGGGAGACTTTAACACCCCACTGTCAACATTAGACAGATCAACGAGACAGAAAGTCAACAAGGATACCCAGGAATTGAACTCAGCTCTGCACCAAGCAGACCTAATAGACATCTACAGAACTCTCCACCCCAAATCAACAGAATATACATTTTTTTCAGCACCACACCACACCTATTCCAAAATTGACCACATACTTGGAAGTAAAGCTCTCCTCAGCAAATGTAAAAGAACAGAAATTATAACAAACTATCTCTCAGACCACAGTGCAATCAAACTAGAACTCAGGATTAAGAATCTCACTCAAAGCTGCTCAACTACATGGAAACTGAACAACCTGCTCCTGAATGACTACTGGGTACATAACGAAATGAAGGCAGAAATAAAGATGTTCTTTGAAACCAACGAGAACAAAGACACCACATACCAGAATCTCTGGGACACATTCAAAGCAGTGTGTAGAGGGAAATTTATAGCACTAAATGCCTACAAGAGAAAGCAGGAAAGATCCAAAATTGACACCCTAACATCACAATTAAAAGAACTAGAAAAGCAAGAGCAAACACATTCAAAAGCTGGCAGAAGGCAAGAAATAACTAAAATCAGAGCAGAACTCAAGGAAATAGAGACACAAAAAACCCTTCAAAAAATCAATGAATCCAGGAGCTGGTTTTTTGAAAGGATCAACAAAATTGATAGACCGCTAGCAAGACTAATAAAGAAAAAAAGAGAGAAGAATCAAATAGACACAATAAAAAATGATAGAGGGGATATCACCACCGATCCCACAGAAATACAAACTACCATCAGAGAATACTACAAACACCTCTACGCAAATAAACTAGAAAATCTAGAAGAAATGGATACATTCCTCGACACATACACTCTCCCAAGACTAAACCAGGAAGAAGTTGAATCTCTTAATAGACCAATAACAGGAGCTGAAATTGTGGCAATAATCAATAGCTTACCAACCAAAAAGAGTCCAGGACCAGATGGATTCACAGCCGAATTCTACCAGAGGTACAAGGAGGAACTGGTACCATTCCTTCTGAAACTATTCCAATCAATAGAAAAAGAGGGAATCCTCCCTAACTCATTTTATGAGGCCAGCATCATTCTGATACCAAAGCCGGGCAGAGACACAACAAAAAAAGAGAATTTTAGACCAATATCCTTGATGAACATTGATGCAAAAATCCTCAATAAAATACTGGCAAACTGAATCCAGCAGCTCATCAAAAAGCTTATCCACCATGATCAAGTGGGCTTCATCCCTGGGATGCAAGGCTGGTTCAATATACGCAAATCAATAAATGTAATCCAGCATATAAACAGAGCCAAAGACAAAAACCACATGATTATCTCAATAGATGCAGAAAAAGCCTTTGACAAAATTCAACAACCCTTCATGCTAAAAACTCTCAATAAATTAGGTATTGATGGGACGTATTTCAAAATAATAAGAGCTATCTATGACAAACCCACAGCCAATATCATACTGAATGGGCAAAAACTGGAAGCATTCCCTTTGAAAACTGGCACAAGACAGGGATGCCCTCTCTCACCGCTCCTATTCAACATAGTGTTGGAAGTTCTGGCCAGGGCAATCAGGCAGGAGAAGGAAATAAAGGGTATTCAATTAGGAAAAGAGGAAGTCAAATTGTCCCTGTTTGCAGACGACATGATTGTTTATCTAGAAAACCCCATCGTCTCAGCCCAAAATCTCCTTAAGCTGATAAGCAACTTCAGCAAAGTCTCAGGATACAAAATCAATGTACAAAAATCACAAGCATTCTTACACACCAACAACAGACAAACAGAGAGCCAAATCAAGAGTGAACTCCCATTCACAATTGCTTCAAAGAGAATAAAATACCTAGGAATCCAACTTACAAGGGATGTGAAGGACCTCTTCAAGGAGAACTACAAACCACTGCTCAAGGAAATAAAAGAGGACACAAACAAATGGAAGAACATTCCATGCTCATGGGTAGGAAGAATCAATATCGTGAAAATGGCCATACTGCCCAAGGTAATTTACAGATTCAATGCCATCCCCATCAAGCTACCAATGCCTTTCTTCACAGAATTGGAAAAAACTACTTTAAAGTTCATATGGAACCAAAAAAGAGTCCGCATCGCCAAGTCAATCCTAAGCCAAAAGAACAAAGCTGGAGGCATCACACTACCTGACTTCAAACTATACTACAAGGCTACAGTAACCAAAACAGCATGGTACTGGTACCAAAACAGAGATATAGATCAATGGAACAGAACAGAGCCCTCAGAAATAATGCCGCATATCTACAACTATCTGATCTTTGACAAACCTGAGAAAAACAAGAAATGGGGAAAGGATTCCCTATTTAATAAATGGTGCTGGGAAGACTGGCTAGCCATATGTAGAAAGCTGAAACTGGATCCCTTCCTTACACCTTATACAAAAATCAATTCAAGATGGATTAAAGATTTAAACGTTAGACCTAAAACCATAAAAACCCTAGAAGAAAACCTAGGCATTACCATTCAGGACATAGGCATGGGCAAGGACTTCATGTCCAAAACACCAAAAGCAATGGCAACAAAAGCCAAAATTGACAAATGGGATCTAATTAAACTAAAGAGCTTCTGCACAGCAAAAGAAACTACCATCAGAGTGAACAGGCAACCTACAACATGGGAGAAAATTTTCGCAACCTACTCATCTGACAAAGGGCTAATATCTAGAATCTACAATGAACTCAAACAAATTTACAAGAAAAAAACAAACAACCCCATCAAAAAGTGGGCAAAGGACATGAACAGACACTTCTCAAAAGAAGACATTTATGCAGCCAAAAAACACATGAAGAAATGCTCATCATCATTGGCCATCAGAGAAATGCAAATCAAAACCACTATGAGATATCATCTCACACCAGTTAGAATGGCAATCATTAAAAAGTCAGGAAACAACAGGTGCTGGAGAGGATGTGGAGAAATAGGAACACTTTTACACTGTTGGTGGGACTGTAAACTAGTTCAACCATTGTGGAAGTCAGTGTGGCGATTCCTCAGGGATCTAGAACTAGAAATACCATTTGACCCAGCCATCCCATTACTGGGTATATACCCAAAGGACTATAAATCATGCTGCTATAAAGACACATGCACACGTATGTTTATTGCGGCACTATTCACAATAGCAAAGACTTGGAACCAACCCAAATGTCCAACAATGATAGACTGGATTAAGAAAATGTGGCACATATACACCATGGAATACTATGCAGCCATAAAAAATGATGAGTTCATGTCCTTTGTAGGGACATGGATGAAATTGGAAACCATCATTCTCAGTAAACTATCGCAAGAACAAAAAACCAAACACCGCATATTCTCACTCATAGGTGGGAATTGAACAATGAGATCACATGGACACAGGAAGGGGAATATCACACTCTGGGGACTGTGGTGGGGTCGGGGGAGGGGGGAGGGATAGCATTGGGAGATATACCTAATGCTAGATGACACGTTAGTGGGTGCAGCGCACCAGCATGGCACATGTATACATATGTAACTAACCTGCACAATGTGCACATGTACCCTAAAACTTAGAGTATAATAAAAAAAAAAACATTAAAAAAAAATATATATATATATATATTTGTCACATATATAAAATAATTGACTACAAATTATATGATGAAATAATCACTTAGAATGAACTGATTTATATATATTGTTATGTAAATTATGTTATGTATTATAATATATGCTATTTTACACATATGTTATAAATAATGTGTGTAACATATCTTATATGCATATATTACATACATTATTATATACATATATTATATGTATAATATATACCTATTGTATTAAACTATGTTAATTATTAATATATTAATCATATTATTATATATGATATGTAATACATATATTAGTAGTAGTATATATTATATATAAATCAGTACATTCTAAGTGATTATTATATATAATTATATATATATATACACACACACACAAAAATCCACTCCAGACCCATTGGCTCATATACTTATATATATATATACTCATATATATATATATATACACACACATATATATATACACACACACACACACACATACATAAAATCACTGGAAATGATTACTTAAAAGTATACTATTTCATAGAATTTTCATGTCAAATTCATCAATACCGTGGAATCAAATAAAAGGCTCAGCTTTCATGATTCTGAAGCTGAAGCATCTTAAGATGTACAAGAGGAATTGAATACTCTTCAGAACGTGCAAACAGGTACCAAACTGGTTGAACTTGTCTGTAAAATTGTTTCCAACCCGTGCATTCTTTTTTTCACAGGACTTATGTAATACACATCAGTGGAGTGAATGAGCACCTTATACATCGTAACCGCGAAAGCAGTGCTCATGCTGCCCCGCCATGTATGGTGCTCCCCTGCACACTCTCTGTCCTGTTTCTTACTGCCTCTGGGCTGTCCCACTCCCGAACGGAGGGGATGTTTAACTGAGCTCCCAGCCCACAGACACCTTCTCTCCATTGCCTTGTCACCCACAAGACTTCATGATGCTCAACTTATCTTTTCTCTCCAGTAATTTATAACCACTCTGTATGCACGGTTAGCCAAACACACAGTCGATGATACTGATAAACCACGTTTGTTGTTTGATTGATGTTTACGGACACAGAAAGGTATTTGATTTTCTAATGTTCACTCTAGGATGAGCCAGTATAAAGATCCAGGCTTGCAAACAATGGGAATCTCAAGCCAGAAGCAGCCATGTTTTGATTTTAGGAAATTCATTATGGAAAATAACCTACCAAGTGCTAATTTAAAGAGTATTAATTTTAAAACCGAATTACTCTGGGCTGTCCAGAATCTTACAGTCTAAAAGGAAGCACACCACATAGAAATAGGGACAATTCCAAACTCAGACAAACACACAACAGCAGGATAACTGCCATTTTTAACCCTTTGACTCATTTTTAAATTATTTAATATAATTATAGAATCTCATGGGAAATTTATCAAAAATATGCCTTAAAAAGATATAATATCAGCTGGGCATGGTGGCTCACACCTGTAATCCCAGCACTTTCAAAGGCTGAGGCGAGTAGATCACTTGAGCCCAGGAGCTCGGGACCAGCCTGGCCAACATGATGGGACCCAGTCTCTACTAAAAACACAAAAATTATCTGGGTGTGGTGGCACATGCCTATAGCCCCAGCTACTTGGGAAGCTGAGGTAGGAGAATCACTTGAACCTGGGAGGGGGAGGTTGCAGTGAGCTGGTATCACACCACTGCACTCCAGCCTGAGTGACAGAGCGAGACTCGGTCTCAATATATATACATAATATATATGTAATATCTTTGAAAAATTATTTAGCCAACAGACAGTGCTCACTTTGCATGACTCAGTATTAACTGAAGCTTCCTGCTATTAGAGCAGTGCCCTCACATTGCAGAGCTGAAAGCCTGGGTAGAGCGTAGACCACATCTGCTCCCGACCATCCCTTGACACACTCAGACCCAGTTAAGGGTTAACTGTCACTGAGTCTTCTAAACCCTTGTAGCTGGATACAAAAAAAAGCCTCACCAGAGAGTGTTAACGGATCAAGTTATGCTTCCCACTGTTCCAGTTAATCTCAGGATCATATCTTAGAGTCATCCTCTCATTCTTCCTTCACTAACTCTGCATAACTCTCACCCTCAGCCAACACTTTGCTGATGGATGCTATTCGCACAGTGAAACAGTGCCTCAGGGTTTCTGCACCTGTTTATTATGTTGTTGGCCACCATTGCAGCAACTGCATATCTACAGTTATTTCTGGAACTGGAAGCCCACAGCAGGTACCCAAAGGACCTGCTGAGTTCCGGATACTTCTCCCTGCTGCCATCATGAAGGAGCAAACCTCTCTCCTCTTCAAAATGTCAGTCAATTGCCCAGCAGTATATTAACTCTTTCTCTGCCTAATGGCCCACTATCATGAGGAACCCAGCATGACCGGATCTGGCCATAACTTTGAATTTTGTGGGTCACTTTCTATGTCCCTGGGACCAGCATGTCTTCTTAGGGAGCCAGGACCCCTGTTCAACCAGAGCCTGAAGTTGAGAGGACAGGAAGCCCAAATTACCCAAATAGGCTTTTTCTGTTATCTTCTACTGGCTGTTGGGTCAAAGTATATTCTATATCTAATAAGACATTGCTCATAAAGCCCCACCTTCTTCATAAAGCAGATTTCTTTGTCTAAATGATGCTGGATGAGTTTCTGTGACAATTTTCCATCTGTGAGTATGCACACAGCACTGCATAGTGCAGTGGCTGGCTCTGCCACTGCAGGGAAGGAAGGCAATCCCAGGACATGACTCCTTCTCCGTGAGGACACACACTTCCTGCTGTAAGGTGGAAAGTGTCTGGCAAAAAAGACTATCATCACATGGCTAGCTGGTCTCCTCCAGGATTGGTGCCATATCAAGGATCAACTTGAGTCTCTGCTGCTGAATGCACGCATCGCTTTTCCATAACTTTATATCTCCAATCTTTCAACCTTGCTCCTTGAACGCTCCTGAATTCCCAGCCAAATTATTCCTCACTGTCCAGGAGTGGATTTTTTTTCCTTATCACATGTCCCTTCTCCCAAAATATGAAGCTGATGACAATATGTATTGCTAACATCTTTGCCTAGGGGAAGGATGTCCTCACCAAGATCTGTCAGGCTCACCTCTGAATGCAAAGTTGATGCTATACAGTGCATTTTGACCTGCAATTATCTATCTATCTATGGCTACTTATATCCCATTCTTAATTGAGGCTCGAGGTGTTTTCTATCAGGCAATTGAAGAGAACCTTCTCATCACCATAGGGCCAGAGGGGTGAGCTGAGTGAAAAATATCAGTGCTACAAGGGCAGATAGCATGAAGGTTTGGACTACCTTTTTGTGTGATGTCATTTTGTCCTTCAGCCTGCTTAAGCCTGATTTTGAATGTGCAATGTCCCTTGCATGAGGGATTCCTGTAGCCTGCCTGACCATCAAGTCATATTGAGGGGTGTAGCTGTAACCATCTGATGACGAGCAGCTCCACTTACACTGTCGCTTGGCTCCCTGGGGTGAGGAGTTCAGTCTCTTATTCTCTCTCAGGGCCTCATAGTCTGCCAGAAGCAAGGTTTGGAATGTACTCTGCTAAAGATGGCATTGTATATCTAGCTCCAGAATCATAGTGTCTGCATTTTAGCTTTGCTGTTTGGGCTTTCCAGAGATGCCACACCACTTCCTCATTACCACAAAATACCAGGATCTCCATTGCATCTGCTGGATCTAAATGCCCAAGTGGCAGTGTCATAGTCCATTTGGGCTGCTATAACAAGATGTCATAGACTGAATGGTTTATAAACAACAAATATTTAATTCTCACAGCACTGGGGCCTAAGAAGTCCTAGATAAAAATTCCAGAAGATTCAGTGTCGGCCAGGCGTGGTGGCTTACGCCAAAAATCCCAGCACTTTGGGAGGCCGAGGTGGGTGGATCATGAGGTCAAGAGATCGAGGACCATCCTGGCCAACATGGTGAAACCCCATCTCTACTAAAGATACAAAAATCAGCTGGCCGTAGTGGCACATGCCTGTAGTCCCAGCTACTTGAGAGGCTGAGGCAAGAGAATCGCTTGAACCTGAGAGGCAGAGGTTGCAGTGAGCCAAGTTCGTGCCACTGCACTTCAGCCTGGAGACAGAGGAGGAATCCTTCTCAAAAAAAAAAAAAATTGTCTAGTGAGGCCCCACATTCTGTATATAGACAGAGTCTTCTTACTGAGTCCTTTCGTGGTGGAAGGGGCAAAAGTTCTCCCTTGGGACTCTTTTATAAGGCTACTAATCCAATCCATTAAGTCTCCACCCTCATAACATAATCGACTCCCAAAGGCCACATCTCATAATTCCATCATAGATGCTGAGCATCTAGAAAGAGCAGTGGGAGCTTAGGGTACTCTGGCCTGGGGGTGCTTCCACACCTGCTCCCAGCTTGGCAGTGCCAAGTTTCTGCTAGGGCATGGCAAACAGTGAATAGAGCTGATTCTCTGCAATAGTTATCAGGGGCTGGCTCATTTGGCAACAAAAGGTGATGGCCATGCCCAGCAGCTCTGTCCATGGCAGTGACTTCTTGGAGGCAGGCAAGAGAGGAAGGGCCAAATTCTAGGCTCTGTTAGCCCGAGGTCACCTTCTCACTTGGAGCAAGCAAGTCTTGGCTGAAGCTGAGCACATAAACAGCCAAGACCAAAGGGGGACAAAGATATTCACATGCTTATGGCCTCAAGGTTTTGAAGTGTAATGCATGAGCAGACGAGACCTGGAAGGGCCCAGTGAAGGGTAACTGGGCCACTGAGTACTCAGTGCTCAGATGCTAGTTTGTAATACCATTCTAAAAAGAGAAATAAGAATCCTTGCAGAAATGGCTTGTTTTAGGGCTGGGGAAGAGAACATAGAATATGAGCCTGTAGCATCTTATAGTACCAGAAAAAAAGGAGTTGCTCAAGAAAAAAATACAATAATGGGGTTATGTCCACGAATAAAGGATCCCACAGAAAGGGGTTTTAACAGGCAGAACTAGGACGACTTGAGCAACACAACAAAAAATACTCTTGGGTTGCAACCCCAAATGTAAAATACGTATCTGTGAGTCTATGCTGATGAATAAATTGTAATTAAGTACATAAATGGGAGAGAAGAGATACATCACTCATGCCGGAGAATTCCTAATAGCTTACGTAGACATTCTGCCCTCAAGGTGGCGGGACCCAAATCTCTACTGCCTAAGTGTCAGTTGCATGTTAGGATTCTCTCCCAAAGTGGGCAATGTGGAAAGGAGGAAGAAGAGTAGCCACACACTGGATAGATCTGTCAGGCACTTCCTCAGCCAGGAGGTAAAGTTTAATATCAACAGCGATAAGGCTTGTCATTAGGATGTACCTGTGGTGTGAGGTGAGGAGAATGTGCTTGATTCCATGGCCTTCCTTCTGGAACTGACAACCCCATGTTTAACCACAAGGAAAACACCACGCAAACCTAACATGAAGGATGTTCTATAAAATAGCCGAGCAGTACTCTTCACAATGGTCAAGGTCATCCCAAACAAGGAAAATCTGAGAAACTCTCATGGTATAGAGGAGCCAAAGGAGACTTCATGGTTAAAGGAGATGTCTTGTACAAGATCCCGAAATGGGTAAAAACTGAGGAAATTTTAACAAAGTGAATAATTTAATTATTAATAATGCATCAATAGTAAGCTTATTGATTATGAGCAATGTACCCTATTAATGTCAGATGTCAAGAATACAAGAAACTAGGTATGAATTATATAGGAACTCCATTTACTATCTTGGCAGCATTTCTTTAAACCTAAAGATACCCTAAAATAACACATTTATTTTAAAAAATAAGTAAGGAAAGTTATACAGGAGGCAGACTCAAAAGAAGCCTAACTTTTTAATGTTTCCCTTACTCACAAAAGGTTCTGTCGGCAGAGGATGGAAGTCTTACTGGCTGGACTAATTTCAGCACAAATTATTTCCGATCATTAGCTAACCCCTAGAAATTCCTACATAAAAGTAAAAATAAAAGTACATACAAATAAAAAAAAACTTATGGCTACTTATACAGAAAATGTATACTTCATTGCTTTAGCCCAGGCATGCTACTAAACAAACAGACACACAAAACAAAACACAACAATCTTCAGGAGAAAAATACCAGACTCCCTGCCTGCCTCCCTTCCTTCTTTCCTTCATCTGCCTTTTAATTTATTTAATTAAATGAAAATATTAAATTTCTGTCTTCTACCCTTTCTAGCCTGTCTTTCCTCCAAAGTTTCTTGAAAGGCAACTATATGCTCACTATAGAACTAAAGATTTTTTAGAAAACGATTGAGGCTTTTAGACCAATCAAAACTTGATTTCCAGATCCAAAGATAAGAAAATATTTTTTTCTGTAAATGAGTATTCACTTACTCAAAGCAATAGACTATTAAAGTGTGACTAATATAAAATCCAATTTTAACATTACCTCTTATTTCTCTAAACCCACTGGACAAGTTGGAAAGATGTCCTTGGCTCAAGGGCTTCCTTATGCCTCTGGCTTCTTATTAGCCTAGTAAAGACACAGCAGAGGCTGAGGCAGAAAAGAGGCTGAGCAAAAACCTAGCAGTTCAAATTATCCAACTCTAACATTTCATACGGTGAATGTGGCCTGAATTAAACTGGCGCATTACAGTCAAGTGCAGGCTTTTAATTTAAGGCCTAGGGATATCAGCTAATTTAAGTTAGGAGTGATAAAGTCTACTGCAAACTGACAGATATGCCAATGACACATCTTCTCTGGCCACAAGGACCTCACCATCTCATTTTAAAAGAAATAAACCAATGGCCACAGTACAGTAGGATCATAGAGACATTTCTAAGGCTTATGCAACCCAGAAGGGAATCTTCTCCTGATATTCAGGTGGAAGCTTGGGTTTCTATCTGAGTTCAAACAGGAACCTACAACTTATTATCACAGAGGACTAATAATGGATTGTAGAAATCACAAAAGACAATCTATAGATAAACAGGAAGTAGTAATTTCTAACTGCAGAAGGGATGATTGCCAATAATTATGTGCTCAGAGTTTTCATCCACAATTGCTAATTGTATTAAATCTTCAATCTAATTATCATTAAACACATTTATTACACATTTAGAGAGTTAAGGATGCAAGAAGTGCAAGAAGTTAAATAACTTACCCAGGATCATGTGACAGGAAGAAAAAGGATTGGAACCCATGTCTCACTCACCTGATGTTGCAGCCTTTATCACTGAACCACTCGTCTGGCAACCACTGAATGTAGGTAGTAGAGCTCAAATAGCACACTCTACATTCATGTACAAGATGCCTACCTAGCTATATGAAGCAGGGTCCAATTAGGACACTGAAACCATACCAGTTGTCTTACAATTTAGGGAAGAATGTCATATATACATACACGTTATTCAGCTTTTGAGGTCTGCAAAGGTTAAAAATAAGACATTAAAAAGTCATCAGGTGCAATGCACAAAGCAAAAAATCTGTAAAAGTTTGGAAGGATAAAAGGTAAATGTTTGGCTTATTTTTAGAATTTACAAGTTTGAAAGATATGCCTTTTAAGCAGGAACACAGATGTTTACTGAAATATCTACTTATGATATTATGCAGAAGCTCAAAGAAGGGATTCTATGTATTGGTAAAAGAAGAAATGTGGTTTGAAGAGGCCGGTTCTTGCATCCTAAAGCAAAGTGTATCAAGATGTATTTGAAGCTGAGGTACAGTAGCATAAAAATGAATATGGTTTGGCTGTGTCCCCACCCAAATCTCATCTTGAATTGTAGCTCCCATAATCCCCACATGTCATGGGTGGGACCCAGTGGGAAGTAATTGTATCATGCAGTGGGTTTTTCCCATGCTGTTCTCATGATAATGAATATGTCTCATGAGATACGATGGTTTTATAAAAGGAAGTTCCCCTGCACACACACTCTTACCTACCACGATGTAAGATGTACCTTTGCTGCTCCTTCACCTTCTGCCATGATTGTGAGGCCTCCCCAGCCATGTGGAACTGTGAGTCCATTAAACCTCTTTTTCTTTATAAATTACCCAGTCTCAGGTATTTCTTGATAGAAGTATGTAAATGAACTAATACACTAAATTGGTACCAGGAGTGGGGTGCTGCTATAAAGATATGCCAAAATGTGGAAACAACATTGGAACTGGGTAACAGGCAGAGGCTGGGACAGTTTGGAGGGCTCAGAAGAAGACAGGAAAATGTGGGAAAGTTTGGAACTTCCAAGAGACTTGCTGAATGGCTTTGACCAAACTGCTGGTAGTGATATAGACAATAAAGTCCAGGTTGAGGTGGTTGCAAATGGAGATAAGGAACTGGTTGGGAACTGAAGCAAAGATGACTCTTGTTATGCTTTAGCAAAGAGACTGGTGGCATTTTGCCCCTGCCCTAAAGATTTGTGGAAATTTGAACTTGAGAAAGATGATTTAGAGTATCTGGTGGAAGAAATTTCTAAGCAGCAAAGCATTCAAGAGTTTATTTGGGTGCTGTTAAAAGCATTCAGTTTTATGTATTCACAAAGATATGGTTTGGAGTTGGAACTTGTGTTTAAAAGACAAACAGAACATAAAAGTTCAGAAAATGTGCAGCCTGTTGAATTGATAGAAAAGAAAAACCCATTTCCTGAGGAGAAATTCAAGCCAGCTGGAGAAATTTGCATAAGTAATGGGGAGCCAAATGTTAATCCCCAAGACAGTAGGAAAAATGTTTCCAGGGCATGTCAGAGACCTTCACGGCAGCCCCTCTCTTTACAGGCCTGGAAGCCTACGAATAAAAAATGGATTTGTGAGCTAGGCCCAGGGCCCCCCTGCTGTGTGCAGCCTAGGGACTTCGTGCCCTGCATCCCAGCCTCTCCAGCATTTGCTAAAAGGTGCCAAGGTACAGCTCAGACCATGGCTTCAGAGGGTGAAAGCCCCAAGCCTTGGCATCTGCCATGTGGTGTTGAGCCTGTGGGTATGTTTAAGTCAAGAATTGAGGTTTGGGAACTTCTGCCTAGATTTCAGAGGATGTATGGAAATGCCTGGAGGTCCAGGCAGAAGTTTGCTGCAAGGACGAAGCTCTCATCGAGAACCTAGGGTAGTATGGAAGGGAAATGTGCAGTGGGAGCTCCCACAGAGTCCCCACTGAAGCACTCTCTAGTGGAGCTGTGAGAAGAGGGCCACTGTCCTCTAAACTACAGAAGGGTAGATCCACTGACAGCTTGCCCCGTGTGCCTGGAACAGCTACAGACACTCAACACCAGTCCATGTAAGCTCTCAGGAGTGGGGCTGTACCCTGTAAAGCCACAGAGGTAGAGCTGCCCAAGGCCATGGAAGCCCTCCACTTTCATTAGCATGACCTGCATGTGAGACATGGACTCAAAGGAGATCATTTTGGAGCTTTAAGATTTGACTGTCCCGCTGGATTTCAGACTTGCCTGGGGCCTGTAGCCCCCACATTTTGGCAAGTTTCTCCCATTTGGAATGGGTGTTTTTATCCAATGCCTGTACACCCATTGTATCTAAAAATTAACTAACTAGCTTTTGATTTTAAAGGCTCATAGGTGGAAAAGACTTGCCTTGTCTCAGATGAGACTTTGGACTATGAACTTTTGAGTTGATGCAAAAATGAATTAAGACTTTAAGGGACTGTTGGGAAGACATGATTGGCTTTGAAATGTGAGAACATAGATTTGGGAGAGGGCAGGGGTGAAATGATATGGTTTGGTGGTGTTCCCACCCAAATCTCACCTTGAATTGTAGCTCTGATAATCTGCATGTCATGGGTGGGACACAGTGAGAGGGAACTGAATAATGGGGAAAGTTTTTCCCATGCTGTTCTTGTGATAGTGAATAAGTCTCATGAGATCTGATGGTTTTATAAAGGGCAGTTGCCCTGCACATGCACCCTTCCCTGCTGCCATGTAAGACATGACTTTGCTCCTCCTTCTCCTTCTATCATGATTGTAAGACCTCCCCAGCCATGTGAAATTGTGAGTCTATTAAACCTCTTTTCTTTATAAATTACCCAGTCTCAGGTATTTCTTTATAGCATTATGAAAATGGACTAATACAAGAATCAACACACTCACTGCAGCTATATTTCTGGAATCTCAGATGCTCTCTTTGCAACTTGCAGAAATTTTTCTCATAGATGTGACTACAAGGATCACCACCATTACTGAATTTATCAGGAGGTGCAATAAAGTATTTTGTTCTCAGGTTGTCAAAATTTTCCCAAATAATTCAGAATGTAATTGATATAGTTTATAATTCACGGTAAATTTTACTTATAAAATGATAATTTTTATTTGCATTTCAAAATTAGTGCAGGGATGTTGGTATTTTAATCCACAGACTCATGACTGAATACAGTTCCTCTGCTTCAATCTTATATAAAATATTTACTTAAGTATAATTATACCACAAAAGCTTATTCAAATGCCAGGTTCCTCTAGGAGATTTTCACAGTTGTCTTAAATCTAGACATGAGGGTTAATCATAGTGTAATTATTCTGACATTAAGCCTCATATACCTTTTTATATACCATGCTATTTATAATGCATTTTGGCAGACTAGCCTTTCAAATGCATAGGAGTCTTTTAGTAAAATGGATTCTCATTATTGTCATCAAGAGTACGTAGACATCAGTAAGACACAGTTACTGGACATCACCTAAATGCACTGTGCTTTTCTAGAGACACAAAGAATTATAAAGAAGCTTGTAGCTCGCTATGAGCTCATATTCATGGAGACACACATGAAGACCTGACTTACAGTATTTAATTAGAAGAAGATACATGCTATAATCTTTAACTGCTACACACACTGAAAATAGAGAAAAAAAATTCCCTATAACACTCATTGAAGCTTTCCAAATGAAGTGGAATTTTAACTCAACCTTGAAGAATTATTGCTGTCTGCTCTCTTTCACAATTCACGCACTGACCACAGTAGCAGCACTTAACTTACAGTGTGTTGTATATGTCCTTTTCTCTTTCTGCCATAAATCTCTGAGTTATTCAGCGAAAGGGGTTTTGCCTTATCTATCCCTGAACATCTAGTATAACACGTATCTATTATTCAAATATTATATTGTAAGATGCTAGATAACATTAGGTTCAAAAAGCCATTAGCCCCTATTCTTGCAACCTGGTAGCTCAGAGTCTCACCGGAAAGAGAGGCATGTTCTACATTCAATGGCCAAAACAATGCAAAGGCAGTGTGCTACATGCTTTGGCAAAAATATCCACCCAAAATAGAAGGAACAATTTACCAAGTAAATTTATAGTATTCAACTGAGTGAGTTTGACAAATGTGTTCATCCATCAAAACACCATGGCAGTCAAGGTGCAGAATAGTTCCATCATCCCCAAAAGATTCCTCATGTTCCTTAGACCTCTACCCCACACTCTGCCTTCATCTATAGGCAACCACAGTTTTGCCCTCTGTTGTTATGCACTAGTCTGCATTTCATACAAATGGAATCATAGAGTATGATGTACATACATGTACCTTGTATGTATGCGATTTTGTGGTTTCTTTTATTCTTCACAATAATTTTCAGTTTCATCCATGCTGTTTTGTGTATCAGTAGTTGGTTCCTTTTTATTGCTGAGTACTCAATTGTATGGTTTATATGTCTTTTCAAGTGTTGATGGACATTTATTTTTGACTATTATGAATAAAGTAGCCGTGAACTTTTGAGTACATGTCTTCCTATAGACATATATATTTTTTCATTTCTTTTGCATAGATACAACAGTTCCTTTTTTTACAGCACTATTGTTTCAGGCCATTCAGTTGTAGCAGCTGAACTGATATCCAAACAATATTGTTACATATTATTAATATAAAAGCTAGATCGGATCACTATGTATGAATGTATTAGAATTGCATTTCCACTTGAATCTTTTAAATATTTCTGTTGGTCATTCTTGATTATTTTTAAATAGTTAATATTATTTTTGGACAAGCAGAGAACTATTTATGCATAAGAGTAACTACATAACAGAGTAGCTCAAAAACTAAATTTAAAAAATAGTTTTAGTTTTTCAAAGATGTCTCATAATATTATATAGAAATTGCATTGAATCTGCCAATGGCTTTGTGTAGGACAAACATTTTAACAATATTTATTTTTGTAGTTGATTTTGTATCCTTAATAAAGTTGAAGAGAAAAGGAATACTTTATAAATTGATATTCAATATTAAATGTTGTTTTGAATAAAAAGCATCTAAGTGGGCAGTTATGGCACACAGCAGTAGAGTGGCATAGCTGTTCAAGCTGTAAGATTAGAATTGAGTTTATTTCAAATGACATTTTCTCTAGGTAAACTTCCCTATCTATTGGCAAACCAGTTGCCTCTACTTTTCTGCATGCTATTAAAACTTCTATCATGACAGTTACCTAGATAAACTGTGTAATTGTCTGTTTACTTGTTTTTGTGTCTGTTAAATAAAAACCACAAAAGGTAAGTGATCTGAAAAGATCTGTGTAAAGAAGAAAAAAGAGATTAGGAATAAGTATAGGAAAGACCACAGTAACTGAATATTCCAATCACTCCCTTACATTTCTCCAGACTTCCTTGGAGTTGGATTTCAGTCATGCAACCCATTTGGGCAATGGTTTGTACATGGGGATGCTGTCATTTTGGGGCTGAGGGGTTAAAAATCCAGTGTTCTAACAGTGCCTGTAGAGGACTCAGGATGACATGACGAGATGGTAAAACCCCCAAATTAAAATAATCTAAATCCCTTTGAAAGTTGCCAAACCCATGTAGACTTTTGTGTGAGTCAGAAATACATCGCTATTGTGTTTAATCAATAAAATTTTGTGGTTTGAATGTCACAGCAGATATCAGTAATTATTCTACTTGAAATGCATATGTTACTGACGAGCTTAATGCTTGTTGCTATTGTTTGACTCTCAAAAATATTTAGAATCTTGGTTAGGGCAAAAATAATAGTTTGCTAGTACTAAAACTGAATATGCTAGTGCAGTTAATATTCATTTTTTAACTACCACCTCAACTTCAGTGTCATGTAGAGAATAATTATCATCAAACATATCCTGAATTCAAAGGTCAAGGCAAAAAATAAACTCATCTGAGTAGACATTTATAAGAAGGTCATGCAGCTAATATTACATGAATAATTTGAGATCTTGAACTTCTAATAATCCATAATGATATGTCACACAGTTAAGTAACAAATCAGTACTTCCAAAATTCATTTATGCGGCAATTCTTATTGATTTATTCTATGAGGGCTCAAAATATTCTTGCTGATATAAATTTAGCCATTATCTCTAATGTATCACAGGTATTACTAAATTTTTTCACAAAAGCACTTGAATAGATCTGTCACATTTGAATAGAATATTTTTAATAGTTCTTGCAAATGTATACAAAGAAGAAATTATTTTTTAAACCTGAAGAGTATTATCAATGCAGCTGAATTACTTTTGAGTAAAATACTTGCTTTTGAGACCTCGGTGATCAGTGATGTATGAAGGAAAATTTCCTTGCCATATTTTGCTAATTACCTTTCAAAAAGAACTTGTTTCCTGGGTTTTACATTAAGAATTTTTTAAAATAATATATAACATAATAATACACTATTGTTTCTCTATCATTATTATAGTTGATGTATCTGTAATAGCTGAACATGAGTATCCCATGTGAATTGAACTTAAATCACAAGGGAAATAAGACCACAGAATCAAAGGGATCATGCAGAAGAACGTTGACAGAGCAGGCCTGAGGCTGCTCTCACTTAAAAAATCCTGCCAACAAGTTCGACCCTTGGGTGATGTCTGGGAACTCGGATTTTAGGACAATTCCCATGATTCCTTGATAAGGGTGACTCACTGTCCCTAAACTGTTTATGCAAGCAATATGGCTTCTCCTCAAACTGCTTTTCTTCTGAGAGTCTAGAATTATGGCATGTAGTACACACAGGATGGCTAAGCAACCAGCCCTATAAAACCTGGGGACTGAATCCTAATGAGCATCACCTGAAGACATTTCTCATGTGCTGTCCCTCAGCATGGCCCTGAGGGATTAAGTGCATCTTGCGTGACTCCACTGCGAGAGGATTCTTGGATACCTGCAATTGGTTCCCTCCGACTTCATTCCATGCATTTTTGCCCTTTGCTGACTTTGCGTTGTGTTCTTTCATGGTAATCACTTATAACCAAGAGTTGAGCGTGTGAGTTCCGAGACCTCCTAATGAATCATGCAGTATGGGGGTAGTCTTGGAGACCCCTTGACACATGGAATTTTAAGTCATCTATATAAAACTTCAGGATTTCTGCAACAAAAGCTTATTATTGGAGTTTGTTGCTATAATGTTAACCAAAGTTGCTAAAATTATTCACGTTTGTGGGTACCTTTCTCTATGCACCTATTTTACATATGTGGTACAGCCATGGTCGTTGTTATGTACATGCTCAACTGGAAACTGGTGGAGGCCCTGAGGACAGGAAATAAAATTTATCCAGAAAAATAAAAACATAATTAAAGTGATTTCTCCAAAAATGAGTTATGTACAAAATAATCAATAGGAGGCATGGTTAGGGCCCAGCTTAGAAATCTGTCCTTAAAAAAAAATAATGCCCATAAATGTCTTCTTTTATATATCAATTTGTTGTTTTACAAGTCTATGAGCAATTGATCTGCTAGAAAAAAATATTTTTAAATAATATGAGCACATGGACTGACATGTGATTTGTTTTCAAGATATCTTTTAGTATGCATGCAATTTCTAGGCTTTTATTTTGCTCACTCCATCTCTTAACTTACATTGTAGGTGATGTTCAACTTCACAACTGAACTAAAAACCCCTTTAACTCAAAAGAAGTACTACTCTGACTTCAAATAAGGACTTATTTAACTGTAATCTACAAATTTGAACTTTGACTATAGGGTGATTGAGAAATGAAATACCACATTGTAAAAGAATTCACAAAAGCTTTAAGTTAGTTATAATTTGTCTCTATAACCTCATTGTCAGCTAAAAGGTACCAAGTACTGAATAATATAATTTCTCTAAACCCACCCCATACTATCATGTGCCTTATAAATGTTTTGTTGTTTTAAATTGTATGTCACATACATTTTATTTGCATTTCAGCTGATAAGTTTCTTAAATGGAAAACTCTGACATATTTTTTCATTTACTCAGCATCAAATTAGTAAAACTCAGACCATATTTTGGAGTAGGCTTTTAGTCCTAACTCTTACCACACATTCCAAGGGACACGTGAGTCTTTGACCACAGGACAGAGGACAGGAGGGTACAAATGTGGATCAGTCCACTTTGAGAACAAGAGTGCGTCTAGAGAAGTATGCCAATCTCTTAGAAGAGTAATGTGAGCGGACAAGGGGTGGGATTGCGGGGGGGGGAATCTTATGGTTTTAGCTTTTGGACTCATTTGTTAATTTATACGTAATTTCCTATTATATAAAAATTATTATGAGGCCAATAATTTAAGCTTCCTCTTTTCATATTCACTGGGTCAAGTAATTGGCACCATTTAAGCAATCATTCACATGTACCAAGCAATTGTACATATAAAAGAGACCTGCCTTTTACTAAGAAAAAATAATTTATTATTAAAGCAATCACGCATCAGAAATGTGCTTAGTGAATTCATATCTTCCAAATTCTTACTTATTTTTATGTGTGCACAGTTTCAATAAAGAATGTCATTGCTCTAATTTATTTGATTTCCTAAAAACAAGTTATTTTTATTTTCTCTTATTTCACTATGTGATAGCTAATTTGCATTGCATGGTCTCCAAAATGTTGCCAGACTAACATGTATTATGTGATCTGGGATATATTGTTCTGGACATGATTATCAATTCCTATTTTTCTCATGCTAATTGAAAACAATATTTAAAGTACTTGGCATTCTTCTTCATGCATCAGTACTCAGTAGTTGAGCACCGATAAATTCCCGAAGCACATTGATCAAAATTCTACTCAACACTTCTGAAATGTATTTGTCAGTCAAATGAGGATTGAATACCTTTTTATCCTGGATTATTATTCTTCCATTTTATTACTTACACATTCTAACACAAATGTGAGTTTACTGAAAATGAATAAGAATAGTGGTTAATTGACCTATTTTGATTGTTTTTTATAAAACAAATATTTTTAAATTTTATGTTTAATTCTAGAAGATCAACTGTCCCACTAACAACAGCTAGAAGAGCTATAAAAGCAATTTCAAAAATCTATTTATAGGCATCAGCACACCAACAAAGTGACCATGACAATAGGACCCATCGTTATGGAGGGAAGGAAGTCCACAGAGGGGCGTCCTGACCTTGGCAACATGTTGGTCTTTGGGGCATTTGCCCATCCTAACAAGCAGCTGGAATTGTGAGTAGAGCTTTCTGCAGTGTCAAAGAGATGCATCCATGGTAGGTCTTCAGACTGTCATCTTCATTTGTTGAGGAGTCATCTACATCATTAATTCAACATTTCTCTGGTTGTTGTTAAGATTCCTTCTTTGTCTTACATTTTCACAGTTGTACTATGAGGTGCTTTTGTAGATTTCTGTTTTTATTTTGTTAGAGATTATAGAGGTAGAAGTAGAAATGGAATTGAATTCAGGATTCTGCAAGAAAATCTGCTTCACTAAACAAATCAGGCTTTTAGTTCAGATAAAATAATCACCACAGTAGGAACAGAAACAAACCCGGATAAGCCCGTTCTCATAAAAACTGAGGCCAGGTTCAAGTAGCTCAATCTTTACTTGGAGCAAAATTACCTGCCCTTATCCTAACTGACTGCTGGAAGTATAAGTCCTCTCTTGCAGAAAACAACATCATCCAGATTCTTCAATTGTCTTTATAATTTTTCAGACACAGCTTGTCATTTAATCAGAAAAGGGTATGCATTAAAAAGATAGGCATTGACCGAATTCAAAAGATTAAAAATAAGAGGAAAAATAGAGCCACAGGACTTCACAATATTGCAGTTAACCAACAAGAACTTCAAAGTAACTGTGAGTAATATCGAATATTTTGAAAGAATAAAACACAGTACAAAATAATCAAGTGGAATTCTACAAGTGAAAAATAAAACAGAAATATGTCAGTACATCACTTTAACATTAGTTTAGACACACCTAAAGAGAGCAATAGTACACTAAAGCTAGATCAGAAGAAAATTTACACATCAAGGTATGGAGATAAAAGCAGGAAACATACAGAAACAAATGGAAGAGATAAATATATGGAAAGGTCTAACATAACTGTGATTACAGTCTGACAAAAAGAAGGGAAAGCAAAAATGGGATAGAAGCAACATTTGAAGATGTAATAGGTGACATACACCTCAAAAGTATTAAAACTCTCAATGAAAATATTTGCAAAGCTCTGTAACCTCTAACAGAGTAAATACAGAAAAAAAAACCCACAAAAGTACGTTATAGAATGTTAAAATGTAAAACAAAGAAGGAATCTTAAAAACATCCAGAGAAAAGTTGCCTTAAATGATGTAGATGACTCTTCAACAAATGAAGATGACAGTCTTAAGACCTACCATGGATTCATCTCTGCTCAGAGTCTATGATACTGCGGCCCCAGATGCCTGCTGAACTCTGCTAGCATCTGGAGTCACAAGCAAGTGACTTATGAAGGACAGAAGGCAATTGATACTTTTAATTTTTTCCTAATAACTGAAACTTCTGATATAAATTGTATGTGGATCTTCAGAAGACTTTTTCAGAATCAAGCTCTATTTTTCTACGTGGTAAGTAGTTAGGTAATTTACTCTTGTGCTAGGTTTCCTGCCTTTTTCCCTCTTCTAAACCTCTACTCTGCTCCCTAATATTACTTTCTTGTCTCAAGTTCCACTTTCAGGGGCACCCAGGTTCAGACAGGAGGAAATGAGCTAACTAGGTTTAGAAGGCCCTGTTCTCCATATTATTCATTCTACAACTTATCTTTTTGCTTTGTAGTAGCTATTATGAATCAATATTCGAGATGCTCTTTCAGGCAATTAAAAGAGTTCTAGTTTATTTTATCTGTTTATGTTAAATTTTATTGTTTATCTTAAAATATTTAAAGTTGCCTTGGTATCTCAGTACATGCACCATTATAAATATTTTGTGGTTACTAAAAAAAAGTGTTGTATGTTCCATGAGTGTATGTTATTGCATATTAAAGTAGATCAATTAGGTAAAATTATTTTGGATGGTGTCATCTTCTGTATCCTTTTTAATATTTTTCTCTGCTTAATTAATCAAATCCTGAAGATATGACAAAATTTCAAGCTGTTACTATAGATTGATCAATAATCCACATATAATTCTGTTTTTATTTTTAATTTACTAAAGCTATATTTCAGGTGACTACCTCTTCCTGATAGATTTTAATTTTTTCATTACTTAAGGAAATTTTTGATATTATCATAACATTTGCCCTTTTTTATCGTTTTGGCCTTATTTCCCTGTTTATTAATTATCTTCATGTGCAGTTTACAGTATATTCATTTTAAGTAGTATATTTGGCTTTTGTTTAATCCAATATTACAGTTTTTGGTTTCAGTTTTAATGTTTAAGACAAGTGCCAGTCCTAGACGTTTTATTTTCAAAATAGCCACTGAATTTCCTTTTTTTGGTGGGAACTGAATATCTACTCAAGTTATAATTCTGTAATTTGTTAAGAAAAGAGTACTGAAAGATTATAAACATGTATCTTCTTTGGGGCAATAATCTCTCTGTAAGATAACCATAGTCATCTTTATTCTGCTAAATGCAACTATATAAAACTAATTCTACTTATTTCTGCATGCCATTATTGAGAACCTATTGTGTGAAACAATAAGCTTTCCCACTAATTCTATCTTTCAAATTTTGACTGTTGGTAGAGATATCATGATTTGTTTAGGTTTCCAGAAATGATTTGAATTTCTACTTTAATTCTCAGAGCCTTGAGAAGTTACAAATAATATTTTTCACTTGCATAAAAACTTCCAGTAATCAGCTTTAAGTGTATGTACATATATGCAACCCATGCCAATATCTAATACATTTAGTTTTTTTGGACATTAGTGTATACTTACTACACTTATTTTCCTTATCCTTCTCTTTAATTTTATATACACATCAATGTATCCTTTAGAATTCTCTCTTCTACAAATTTCAGTACTTACTTTATTTAAACTTGTTTTTTAACACACAAAGTTTCTGTCTTTACACTCAATTCTTTTTTTTTTTTAATATACTTTAAATTTTGGGATACATGTGCAGAACGTGCAGGTTTATCACATAGGTATACACGTGCCGTGGTGGTTTGCTGCACCCACCAACCCGTCATCTACATTAGGTATTTCTCCTAATGTTTTCCCTCCCCATGCCCCCCACCCCCCAACAGGCCCCACAGTGTGTGAGGTTCCCCTCCCTGTGTCCATGTGTTCTCATTGTTCAGCTCCCACTTATGAGTGAGAACATGCGGTGTTTGGTTTTCTGTTCTTGTGTTAGTTTGCCCAGAATGATGGTTTCCAGCTTCATCCATGTCCCTGGAAAGGAATTATTCTTTAAATAAAAAATATTTAGTGATGTCTTTAAAATGTTTTGAGTATATTCATATCTTAGGAAATAAAAAGGATAATAAATAAAATGAAAATAGCTATGAAGTTCATGTAAACATAGAAAAGCCTATAGAATCTACAGAAAAAAAAACTGGAAAAATCAAAAATACACCAGAGACGTGAGGCACAAGCTAGTTCACGTTGCACTTGCTCTTGTGATAATACTCCTGAAATTAAAGCCTTCAAAATGTGTGACTCATTAACATTAAAATGAAATTTTGTATTATTGTGCTGAATTAGCACTTAAAGAAATCTAAACTAAAATTACTACAAAAAAGATCATGTTTCAGATTCAGTGATTGCTAAGTAATTTATAATCAATAAACTGAACATCATTTCTTATTCTATTCCATATACCCTACCCTATGTAGGAAATTACATGTGACTTATATTTTAATGACATTGAGAAGTTTTCTGCAGGATGTAGAGTCTTTACTATTTATTGTTTCCAATTAATAAAATGACTAATGTTAAAGATACTTTTAATAAAATTTAAAGTAATTATTTCTATATTATATCTTTACATTTTAAATAATATAAACTTTTTAAGGACTTAAAAGAAATACTTGATTGGGTAGGTGTTTCCTTACACTTTGTCAAAGATAATTTATTGAAAGATTTCAATCTACAAGTCATGGATATTATGTCTGTAATGAATTTCTATTTATTTATTTATTTTTTGACATGGAGTTTCACTCTTGTAGCCCAGGCTGGAGTGCCATGGTGCGATCTTGGCTCACTGCAACCTCCATCTCCTAGGTCCAAGCGTTTCTCCTGCCCCAGCCTCCCAAGTAGCTGGGATTACAGGCCTGTGCCACCATGCTCAGCTAATTTTTGTATTTTCAACAGAGATGGGGTTTCACCATATTGGTCAGGCTGGTCTCGAATTTCCGACCTCAGGTGATCGGACTTGTCTCGGACTCCCAAAGTGCCGGGATTACAGGCATGAGCCCCCGTGCCCAGCCTGCTTATAATGAATTTCTAACATTTACCAAAGACAATAGTGAAAGAGCATGGGACACTTCTTCCCGGGTGCCTCTCCTTCCTCCCCTCACAGCTGTCTTCTGTCCTAGGCTCCCGGCAGGGAATGCAGGGCGTGAAGGTCCCTCCTCTCTGCGCAAGGCTGGACTTCCTTATGTCCAACATGCTCGTGCTGGGACCTCTGACTCTTGATAGGTCGTTCTGTATCTTATTTACCACACATAAACAATGGTTTTTAGAGGGCTATAGGTTTTTAATGTTCTTTGAAGTTATAATTTCAAGTATTAAACGTATTAACCATCGACAACACTGAGTAGTGTAGAAAATAAAGATTAAAATGCTGTGAATGTTAGAGTATTACCAGATTTCTTATTTCCTGGGCTTATGCTCATAAACGAATTTTAATAGATATTCAGTAACTTCAGCTTGTAGTTGTATCACTTTGCTGTCCATTATTCCTGACTTCTCATCATATAAATAAAATGTTGTTTTTCCGTATCAGTTTTTTGGCCTGACATTGAATGATACAACCATGAGAGTGAAAACGAGCAAGTTCTTGGCTTGGCCCAATAGGTGAAAAGTTGTACTGTGTAGGTCTGCTCTGACTACTGTTTAGTGGATAAACCAAACAAATAGTTAATTTCTACAATGCCAGAAGAAGAGTAGAAATTTTTTTCTTTGCTTAATTTTTGTATTATAGGTTCTCACAGAATGAATGGTAACACCCTGTATAATTTTAGGGACTTTTAACTAAAAATATTTTACCTTCCTTCTTTTATCCTGAATATTTCTAGAAAACTATTGCCTCAATCTTTTGTCTAGGGATTTCACATTCTCAATAAAAATTGGTGTGTGTGTAAGTGTGTGTGTGTGAGAGAGAGATTGCATACACAGAGAATAAAATAACATTCTTCATATACACTAAATTTAATTTGATATTAGGTAACGTACAGAGAGCCAATGCTCCTATAAACTTCTGAGTAGGTACCCACAGTATACACGGGGACACTGGGCCAAATTGTCATGAAAGAAAACAGGAAATTCATTTTTGTGTGCTTTGCTTCCATTATAAAATTAGTGAGAATTTTCCATTGCTTTGACACATTTGATTATCCAAAACAAAAATCTATTTCTTTTTCCCATAGATTTGAGAAGACTTCAGCAGTATTTTTCAGTCTTAGCAAGTTCTGAAACCACTTAAGTGAGTATCATTAGCTCATAGAAGTTTAATTTTAGTGATTTGTGGAGTCCATTTTACATTTCTTACACTTATATATTGATGGGTTTATTTATTTATGTTGAATATAATTTAGGGGGAACTCCAAGCAAATTGGCAACTTCAACTATGTCACTTTTTAATACAAAATGTATATCCATATGGAAGTTTACAATTCAAAATAATTCATGATCAATTATAACAGAAAACTAGCCACATCATCCTACTTCTGAGAAGTTAACATGATTATTCTTTGAAGTTGAAATATTTTAAGCTGAAATTGAAGAGGTGTGGAATTCCTTAAGTTTACACAATAATATTCAACAAGGACTCTTGATTAAATATGCTATATACAGTCTTGAATATATGCTAAGACTTTTTATTTGTCCAACTAAAACTTATATCCAACTATCTTGAAATTCTTGTTGAAGTATTCTGAGTAAGCCATCACGTTTTCTAATCAAAATATCAGTAGTGTTTTAGAACTCATAATAGTCAGAAATTTAAAAGATATTAATAATGAAAAAGAAGATTCAGCTTAACCTATTGGGAAGTTGTATGGATAGTTTCTCTGAGATGTAGATTTCAGTTGGCTATAAAGGAGCTTTTATCAGGGCTAATTTTGGCTGCTACATCATGGAACCCAACTTAAAATCATTGCTTAGGCCAGGCGCGGTGTCTCACTCCTGTAATCCCAGCACTTTGGGAGGCCGAGGCGGGTGGATCACGAGGTCAGGAGATTGAGACCATCCTGGCTAACACGGTGAAACCCTGTCTCTACTAAAAATACAAAAAATTAGCCAGGCGTGGTGGTGGTCACCTGTAGTCCCAGCTACTCAGGAGGCTGAGGCAGGAGAATGGCGTGGACCTGGGAGGTGGAGTTTGCAGTGAGCCAAGATAGCGCCAATGCACTCCAGCCTGGGCAACAGAGCAAGACTCTGTCTCAAAAAAAAAAAAAAAAAATCATTGCTCAGCTCTCTCTGCCCTAACCCCATAGCAAAGTCCTCTTGGATCTGCCTTGATGGTGATATCACTATAGAATGATGGTTGACATTGGAAATGTTCTTCTGATTTTTTTTTAAGTCATTTCTTACTCAGTTGGAATGTGAGAGTTCTTTCAGTCCAGGTTACCTGCCACTGGCCACAATCCTTAAGTTGACTTCTAGATAGAAGTAGAAAATAGGGTGGAAGGCTAACCCATGACTCATGAGAAACGAGGTCAGCTCCCAGGAAAATGCAAAAGAGTGGGTGTCTTTGTTTCTTCCTGAAGTATCATCACCTTGTAGAAACCTATGTGTCCAAAGCCACTGAATCCATCATTCTTTTTAAGAATGCCACATAATACATTAAGAGTTATATGATGATTCTTTAACTAGACGTAACACCAAAAGAGAACATGCTGCTTTCTTAATACTAATTTAATGTCAACTGTTCTTGTGGACATATCATTTAAATACATGTAAATAATTTATATGGAGAGTTTCCTTCCTGTAGGTAGAGGGGCTGCAAATGTTCCCAAGACACAGTTCATATGGAAGAAAGTATTTCTTAATCATGGCATTACAAAGCTGTGATCAATGCCGTGGAATGGAGAATAAAGGCTTCAGAGGATATAAGTAAGAGAATGCTTCCCAAATAAAAATTAACTTTAAGAAATAATAGTGAAGAGTAGTAATTACCCAAGCAAAGGGGACAAGACAGGGCCAGAGGCAGGTGAGGTTTTGGTAAAAGTTTCATAATAGCATTAATCATAGTAGCTAAAACTTGTGTCACACTTACGATATATACTAGGCATTCTTTTAAGTACTTTTCATGATTCATAAGATAGGCACTATTTCCATTTCTATATTGCAGATAAAGAAGCTTAAACACAGAGATATCAATTAACTTGTCCAAAATTACACAGCTAGTAATTGGTGAAGCTCTCCTGAGTCTTGTTATGGCCATTGTCCCAGGGAGTAAACCTCACTGGAGTGCTAGACTTTTATTTTCCAACCGAAAAAAATCCTTTGCTTAAGGTACATGTGTATCCCTCCCATCTTATTAAAAGGTGCATTTCCAATGAAATTTTGCTCTTTATGCTTAAGTATTTACTAAGCATTTTATCTTTATACCAATAATAATAATAATGATATTTTGGTTATCCTTATAGAATAATAATGGTGATACTGTAATACCATTGGGCAGAAAAATTTCACAGCAATGTAAGATCACAAGAATATTTTAAATCATATATATATGCATAACATACATATATACATCTATTTGCAAAGAAACATTATAGATGGTCAGTAAAATATTTTCAAAAATAAAAGCATATTATATTATGATGTGATATTGTGGGGAAGATAAAATGCCATTAGGAATTCAAAAAGGAAAATGCAACAATGTAAACTTTCTGACTGCTGAAGAAGAGATTTTTTTCTGTAAATTTTACAAGGACTCTGGTATTGGAAATAAAATGGTATTGAATGACATTGGCATTTATTATCTATGGCATATATGTCAATAAGATAAAATAATTGTGGTTCATAATGTCAATATGTAACATTGCAAAATTTGCCCTTTACAACTATTTTAACTTGTGATAAGAAACATAAGATGCAAATTTAAATGTGAGGGAAAATATTTAGGTTACCAAAGAAATTAGCAAAATATTTGAAAACCAACGTTTGAGACAGTTGGGAAAATAAGCACTTTTCCGCATCTTAGGAACCATGGCCATGGCCAGGGCTGATGCTCTAGCACTTCACGAAAAGCCCAATTTCTCTCCAAAACTTAGAGTGCTTTCTTCCTGCCTCCTTCCCGTCACACTGAAGATACCCTCAGATTTAGTGCTGTCCAAGAAAAGGTTGCAACTAACCACCCAGAGGGTATTAGGAGAAATCCATTGCTCATGAGTTACTAATACGAGTTACTTAAGCTACAGAGTATGAGGAATTGACTCTATTTTGTTTTTTGGTTTTTTTTCTGAGATGGAGTCTCACTCTGTCGCCCAGGCTGGAGTGCAGTAGCGCAATCTCCACTCACTGCAACCTCTGGCTCCCAGGTTCAAGCGATTTTTCAGCCTCAGCCTCCTGATTAGCTGGGATTACAGGCATCCAACACCATGCCCAGCTAATTTTTGTATTTTTAGTAGAGATGGGGTTTCACTCTGTTGATCAGGCTGGTCTCAAACTCCTAACCCCATGATCCACCTGCCTCGGCCTCCCAAAGTGCTGGGATTAGAGGCATGAGCCATCGCACCTGCCTGACTCTTAATGGTTAAATTACAAATGTCTTTGATGCCTACATCTTTGCAGGGTACGCCTTGTTGAATCCTTCCAGCTTCTCAGGAACAATTCATATCTGCTGATGGGACATTTCAGCAAATGGTGTTTTAGAGAAAAAGACCCAAGAGACTTGTTCTCCTTTTCATTTTCACTTAACTTCAACAGTCGTAAGTCACTTATAAAAAGTATTTGGCAATGTATCTTCTAAGATCCTTAAGTGCTTTGTAATGTCTATGCCCTGGCTGGCTGCCAGATCAGTATTCCGGATTCACCAGATCAAAACGGGTTATGTAGAAAGAGCTACCCAAGAGTGACTTGATAATGCTGATTATGTGAAGCTGCTCCTGAGAGTTCAGTACACTCTACAAGCTGCTGTTGCCCCTAGTATTTGGTGCGACAGAACTGCTTAACTCCCTTGATGCTGTAATTCTAGAAGAAGTAATTGCTGCTTTCCAACAGTGGAACATTTAGTCGCTTCAACTCCACCTCATGGCAGAATCCTCAAAGAATAAAAATGGTTCCCAGAGCCACTGTCTTTTTTATTATTAACTCACAATAGCAAAGTAACCCTAGGTTAATAAAAACTTTAAAATTAAAAAATAAAAGTGATAATTTCAAAGTCCAACTTTCAAAATTTCTAAAAGCAAACTAAATTCTCTGGGTCAGTGTGGGACGCGTCGATGTTCTGAAAATGAGGCTCCTGGACCAGAGGCACCAGTATCACTTGAATTTGCTTAGAACAGCAAATTCTTGGGCCCCAGCCCTAAGCTATGGGATCAGAATCACTGGGGTGGGACTCAGCAGTCTGTGTGTTCAACATGACCTCCAAGTCACTCTGATGCATACTTAAATTTGGGAGTCACTGATAGAGAGATTCATCTGTGCTCTTTGGAGTGATCAGGCCCTGGATTTTAATCTCAGCTCTGATATTTACTGTCTGTGATGGTAAATACTGAGTGTCAACTTGATTGGATTGAAGGAGGCAAAGTATCCTTCCTGGATGTATCTGTGAAGGTGTTGCCAAAGGAGATTAACATTTGAGTCAGTGAACTGGAAGAGGCAGACCCACCCTTAATCTGGGTGGGCACAATCTAATCAGCTGCCAGCACAGCCAGAATAAAAGCAGACAGAAGAACGTGGAAAGACTAGACCGGTTTAGTCTTCCCATCTACATCTTTCTCTCGTGCTGAGTGCTTCCTGCCCTCGAACATTGAACTCCAAGTTCTTCAGCTTTGGGACTCAGACTGGCTTCCTTGCCCCTCAGCTTACAGATGGTCTATTACGGGACCTCACCTTGTGATCGTGCGAGTCAATACTCCTTAATAAACTCCCCTGTATGTATGTATCTATCTTATTAGTTCTGTCCCTCTAGAGAACTCTAATTAATACACTATGTGCAGAGCATCTGCTTACTTACTGATCTGTGTTTTAATTTTGCCATCTGTACATTGGAGACCGTACTTACCTAGACAACATTTTTGTCGAGAGGATGGTAGCAAAACACCTGTGAAAATGCTCCCATTGCTGCTAGATCACCGAAACTAGAGGAGCCATAGATTAGGATGATGAGAGTGGCACCTATTTGAAATCCTAGAGCAGCAGACACTCCATGAACAGAGTTAGATGTGTGGGTACATGCCGGGTTTGAGAAAGCAAGCTACCCATGGCAGCTGCTTTTCACAGATTGCCACCAACCCACCCATTCTGCAAGGGTGACGTTTCCAAAGATTGACTATGGACTTTCCCCACCTGTCAGGCACATTTCCTGAAAACAGCCTGGAATGTCATGTAAGGGACCCCAAGATTAAAAGTGTGCCCATCAGCATGGGGGAGATAGAACGGACAGTTTCTTTTCTTGTTTTCTTCATCAGATCAGGAACATAATTTTGTTTGGATTTTAGTGTCAATCGGTTTTTGAATTCACTTGAGTGGAGCTCCCTCTGCCCAGACACTGTAATATAGGATATGTTTGGGGACAGGTGTTGAATGTGTTGTGAGTATTTCTTATTCACTACTTCTCCAAACTGCTTATTGGAACAAGCACAAACTCAGCTAAATTAGTAACTATTTAGGATTTGTGAGTTAGCCTGGGAGCCCAACAGCTATTTGTTCTGTTTATTTTAAGAGAAAACATCCCATTTTCAGAAACAGCAGGTGATTTATTCAGAGACAAGACATTCAGAAATTGGGACATCTCTCTGGTCATGAAGAAAGCTCTTCCCAAATCAGCCTGATATCCTTTAGGAGTCTGAACAAAGCATGCTGCATCAGAAAACCTTTGCCCACAACTCTATTTCATATTTAACCTGCCTTTCCTTTATACCCCTTTTTCTTCTGCATTTTTCTTCATGGTACTCCCAATATCTGATCTTTTAAATGTTTATTACTAGATGCCTGTCCTTTACAAGGCAAGAACCCTGTGTGTTTCTTCACTGCTGTGTTGCTAGCACTTAGAAGAGTGTGTGAATATGGTAGCTGCTCAATACATATTTATTGAATGAATAAATGAATTAGGCTCCTTGCTATTTTTGCTAACATCTTGCTGTTAACCAATTCACATTTTTTCATTATATGATTTTATTCAAAACAGTCATAATGCTACTTACATTTTCTCTATTTTAAACACCAATGATTCAAAAAATTCTACATTATCAGAAACCTATTATTCTTATATGAGGGAAAGTTAAGGATCCCTTCTTAATTAGAATTAAGCACTGTAGCTCATTTTCTTTTTATTCCAAGCATTGCAAAACCACCACCTAAGGCATACTCTTTTGATTCTGCATCACCCTCTTCTCTTGATATTCAACATTTGAAAATAGAAAATAAGAGTACATGACACCAAAATACAGGGGAAGGCAGTTATTGTATTTTCTACAGTAAATCTCTATTTGGAATAATAAAAAAGAAAGTCATCAATGCACAGATCTTATAAAAAGAAACAACTAGGAGAAACTGCAGAGACTAGAGTATGACATCAATTTGCTTTACA
This sequence comes from Homo sapiens, assembly GCF_000001405.40. NCBI lineage: Eukaryota > Metazoa > Chordata > Mammalia > Primates > Hominidae > Homo > Homo sapiens. The sequence continues at coordinate 99,219 of NW_003315957.1, forward strand.
AACTCTCCCACAGGACAGTCAAAGAACATCAAAAAAAAAAAGAAAGAAAGAAAGGAGGAATATAAGAGCAGTAAGGCCGTGCCTAAGAACTAGTGGCTCCGGAAAGAGGAGGATGTGAGAGTTGGCCCTATGGCGACACTGGGGTAAGTATAAATCACTGCCTTATTCAGAAACACACTCACAGGATGTTTCTTGGAAAAGTAGCCAAAAACCTATCACACAGTGAAGTTGTTCAAGAAAGAAGAAAAAAAAATCAAGGTTTATATTTATGGCTCTTCAGGCTGAGAAACATTTAAACTATTTTAAAGGAGAAAAAATGGAAGGAAATAAAGGCATGAAATTTCTGATTTTTGTTAAGAAAGGGACAGAAAGAGATTAACTTTCTTTCGTCTTCACATGGGTAATGTAGAATTTGTCACTGAAGTAATCTTCTTCCAGGTTTCTTTTATTTATTTTTTCCCAAGAATGTCAATATCTTATCCTCAAAACTATTAGAATGGGGCAGGGGAGGAGGAGAGATGTCTCTGAGACCATTGTTCACAGGTTTGTATCTTACCAATGATCCTGTCACGGACTTTGGGGGCCAGTTTGGCGGGCAAGGTGAGGTTAGGGACACGAGCTTCTTGAGCCTGAAACCATCAGTTTTATGAGCAAGAGTATGTATTAATTATCTAAAAGTCGATCAGGAAGCCCTTCCAAATCATTTTGCTTGGACAAAATCCTGTATTTGATTACCATATAGACATGATATTCCCCTAAACCATCCCCTCGCTTCGAAAACACAGCCTGGGTTTCCATAGGATAACCTCAGCCCATTCCACACTATAAACCATTGCCCACTGCAGCTTCATCATGCACACTTTCTTTCGTGGGTTGTATTTCCTTTACAGAAACTTTTATACACCCTTCTCTTTGATAGATCCTTCGATTAAATTTAAACTGCTTTAATTGGCAGATGCCTCCAGTGTAGCAAGCTTGATTAACAATATTTATTCTCAGTTTCATGCAGCTTGAGGATCCTTATTTGTCTGAAAAAGAATAATTTGGATATGATATTACATTTTTCATTCCTAAGCAAGTAGCGATCACACTCCATTGATGATGTTGAATAAAGTCAATTTATACAACAATAGTTCACGTAACTTCCAAAAACTTATGAAGGTTCTGGAAGCATATTACCATGTATGAGCCATTCATCTATGGAGCATACAGGATAAATCAATACAAATCAACAAGTAAACACTCTGTCTTTCATAATTTAGCAAAATATGTTTTGAATTAAAACTAGCATTAGACGTAATACAGGTGGATAACAATTCACAGTGAATTCACACTGTGAATTAATACTCAAGAAATAATAATCAGATCTCTGTTAATAACATAAAAGTTCAAAGAATTTGATAGATATTTTATAAATATTTTGTAAAAGTGAGAAGACAAGTGAGAACACAAAACATCTTCTATAGAAACCTTTTACTATGTCCAGAGATCTAATGCAAACTTTTGTTGCTCTCTATTGATCTCCTTCAACACCATTCTAATATCTACTCCCAATAAAGTTTGAATTAATAATTTAAAAAATTATGCAGGGCAGCAGACCTAAACTACAGTTCTATACTATTTGTGCAAATAATGTTGGGTTCTTGTGTTTGTTCTACAGGGTCATATTTATTTGAATATTTTATTGTAATATTAACACTGTAAAATCATCATTTAATCTATGGTGACAAGATGGATTATTCAACAAATGTTGTGACAATTTGGCACCCATTTGGAAGAAAATAAGAATGAATCACAAATTCACAAACCTTTACCAAAATAAATTCCAGAGGCATCAACTGTGCAAATCAACCAAAATAAATCATGAGATACTAAAGGAAAATACCAATTTTGAAAAAACACTGGAGTATAGAAGATCTTTGTAAGCATAAACAGAAATCAAGAATCAGTTTTGAAAGATCAATAAAGGTCATTACCTAAAATATCACCATTTTCTTCATGGCCAAAAAATCATCACAAATATATAAAACATGAAAAAAATGGGGAAAATCACTTATGACAAATATGACACTGTGATTTGATATTCCTGAAGATAAATAATAACAAGAGTTATATAAACCAATAGAAAAATAGCTAAAGGAAATGCCAGAGTTCTCTGAAATCAGAAATGATTTCAATCAACATAAAATGTTACTAATCTCATTCATAAGAAGAAAGAAATGAAAATGACAATAAGATACAATTTTACAGAGCAGTTAGCAAACATCAAACTATTTGACAACTGTTGTTAAAAGTGTGAGAGAGTGTGAGGAAAGAGGCATTTTTGTGTACCATTTTGGTTACTAAGATGTATTTAACAAAAGGACCACAAAACGGAGTGTATTGCAAAGGACTGATGTTTACTTTTTTATTGTGTCACCTCCACCCAGGTCAGGGTCATGATGCAGCTCTTCTCCGTGAAGTCACTCAGGGATCGAGGTTTAAAAGCCCATGTCATTGCTCTTCCACCCGCTAGGGAGAGGCCCTCCTCTGCACAGTAGAAGAGTCACTGCTACATTTGCATTCTCCTGGAATGGAGGAAAGAAAAACAAGTCCAGGGCTAATAATTTCCTCCTATCCCTGCTCAGCACTTTCACCACTCTGTATCAGAAACATGGGCAAACACAGGCATTAGAGAACACCAGAATGATCACAGAATAGCTGGACTGAAAATATCTGTGTATCCACCAAGCGAAGTAAAACACTCATTTTCCCTTAGAGTATGTCTGAACTCCCTGACCCTAAGCCAAAGAGAAGACAGCCAGCAAGTGTGATGAGTTTTCTCTCCACCTGAGACTGGGGTCGAGCTGGAGCCCAGGAGGCAGAAGCTCAGTTTTTTTGCCTGGACAGTGACCTGGAAGTCTCCTGACTACCAGCTCCTCCATTACAAGCCTCGGGGCAGATACCATCTACTATAAACCTCAAGGAACAGACAAGGAAATCCTACCATCAAAGAGTACAAACCTCACAAAATGCCCATAGTGACATAGAGTAGACAAAGGTGACATGTGACACCTACATAAACAAACAAACAAAAAAACAAAATTTCAAGAATATATATAAGGATTCAAGTACAGGCTCCATGAGCGATATTGTGGAAATAATTTTTCTAAAAAAATTATTTAAAAAATGATATAGTATACTATATACTATTTTGTGTAAGTGTGTGTATACACCTTGTGTGACTGTGGGTATATACCTCCTTAGGGAAAATTGATCATGCATAGTTTTGTAATTAATATCTTAATGGGTTTTAAAAAGCATAGATTTTAAACCATAATTCAATAAAACTAGAAATAACTAAAAATTTCCTAAATACCTTGATTATTGGAAACTAGAAACCTGTTTGTTGATAAGTGCTAAAGAAAAGAACATAATTGAAATAACAACCTAGCTAGAAAACAGTAAGAAATTATAAAAAGTAAAACAATTGAAAGAGCAATAAGAAATTGGAAAAAAAACAAGAACAAAAACCCATTAGACATCCAGAATTACATATATAATATACACAAATGATTTGTCATCTGTGTATTGCATATAGCCTATATGTCTTTTTATACAATATTTTTGAAATGAAAAATTAATCTAAAAGCTAATTATTTAAAAAGATTATTAAAATAGATACATCCCTTGAGGAAGTTAAGAATCAAGAAAAGAAAAAAGATCAACCTGATTTGGAGTGAGAAAGATTAGCCAGCTACAGTTATAGAAAATATTAAAAGAATAATGAAGGACATTATGTAAAATATTATTACAACAGAAATGTAATATTGATTTAACAATGACTTCAAGTGTATTATTTAACACAAAGAATCATTAATCAAATCAGATTAACAGGAAACACAATTTTACATGCGTCTTGATTTACTAGCAGTTTCAAAGGCAAGTAATCAGGAGAGAGAGCAAAGGAGGGAGGGATCTGAGACCATCAGCTGAGCTCTCCTCTGGCCTAGATGTACAATAGCAGTCTCTAAGCAAGTTATGCGTTTCATATCACCTACATAGAAGAAAGCTATTTAGTCATGAAAACATTTTATACTCAGTTACATAAGTTCTGTGAGCTTATGTGAGATACTTTCTAAAGAACCATGCCCCATCCACCCTCAGAATACAAATTTCTTTATTGTAAATAATCCCAGACATCCAGGTGTATCCTTCTTAAAGTGTTTCATGATAAGAACTCTCTTGCTAGCAAAAACTATTAGCTTGCTGTGAGAGGGTCCAATAATGAAATGTTTCCAAGGAGACAGTTCACTTGCCTTCTTTATTCCTGGGTACACCCACTGGTACTGGGAGAATTGCTGCTTAATCTTTCCATCCCAAAGAACCATATTTAATTGTCTCCAATTGTGTCAAAAATACCACCTACAATATTTTTTTCTTATGACTCACACAGGCTATTTGATTTTCATGTCTCTTTATTTTAATCAAATGTAGAGAAATACCTTGTATATTTGTTTGTCTTTTATGAAAATATTATGTTTTTAAAGTCCAACTCAGTTGTCCTGCAGACTCTCCCACATTCTGGATTCTGGATTTCTCTTCTTTGCTTTCTTCTTCATTTTTAGAAAACAGGTAAAATATTGTTGGCATGAACACTACATAAGTGATATTGTACAATATGATTTTTTTTACTTTTGTATTCCTAACCACTTAATTTATTATTAGCTATTGTTAGTAGGATGCACAAGAGATGCTAGTGCCTGATCAAATTGTAAATGACATGAATTAATCATGTTGTAGTAGGTTATTCATTAATACAAAAAAATCAAAGGAACATGGATTTTATATACACCTAAATGCCTCACCAAAATCATGATTATTTAGTTATGCAGCTTTTCTTGGACAAAGAATCCTTATTCTTGTGACTCTAAACAAACTCTGGATTGATAAAGTGATGGGAAAAGTACCTACGTAAGGTGAGTAGTGAGTATGACAAGTGTCATTCAAAGTTTGATTGACATCTCTGAACTGTTTTAAGGAAGATAAACAAATGACTTTCTGGTTATTTCCTATCTATATAGTCCTTTTGCTCTAAAATCTATATAAAGATTTGTACAACCTTGGAGAGAACACTGTATTGATTTTGTGAGCATGTATGTGCCTAGGAGTGTCATGAATTGCTATTTTACCATCTTATCATTTTATTAAACTTTCAGATCATATTTTTGGGGATAATCATAGATTAACCATTCCTCCAGATTTAAAAAGGATTTATTTTCATTTTTATTGAAATTTTATGTGCGTGTCTAAATTGAATGTGAGTCCCATTGCTTTCTGTCCCTTTCTTTCAGT